>NC_000017.11:7915353-8066868 GCF_000001405.40 Homo sapiens
AGCCTCCCCAACTCAGCATCAACACCTCCCAGGGCGTTCCCTCCTGCCTTCGGCTCATCTCTCTCATCACATGCCAATCCTGGGATCTGAGAGAGAGTAGTCTTGACATCAGCCCCCGCGAGGCTGCAGCTCCCACCTTCCTTCGGCTGTAGCTTCCGAGTTCCTCGGTTACAACGTGCAACGGGTCAGGTGGCCAATGTCCTTGATCTCCGCACAGTAGAGCACTGGGGGAAAGAAGAAGGGTTAGTGGCAGCAGGAGCATGCCAACGAACCTCGGTATTCCTCGGCGCTCTCTCCCCTGCATCCTCCCCGGGCAGCCCCTCACCGTTGCTAGGCAGCGGACGCCGCCAGCGCCGCGCAGGCCCCAGGACCCTGTCCCAGAGCCGCCGGAGCGCGCGCCACCCAGCACTCCTAGGCCCCGCCCCCTTCTCGCTCTCCCCTTCTTCCTCCGCCTCTCCGTCAGCGTCGCTGCTTTCCTTGGCCGGGTTCCCAGCCTCATCTCGTTCGCACTTGGCCCGCGCTTTTTCCTCCAATCGCGACCACAAGTCCGAGTCAAGAGCCATCTCCGTGAGGCCGCCGCGAGGGAGCTGCGAGGGCGCGCGGCAGAAGGGGCACGTGACCACGCGGCGCAGGCGCACCACGCGCGCGGCCGCCCCGCCGCCGTCCCCGCGCGCCGCCAGCTCGCGGAGGCAGGCGGTGCAGATCGTGTGGCCGCAGCGGGCGCGCGCCGTTCCGGGCAGGCGGCGGGGCGCGCGGCACCCGAGGTTGAAAGGACGGTAGCAGATGTTGCAGTCCAGCTCGCCCCGCTCCGGAAGAGAGGGTACCCTCACCAAGAGCTGCATCGTGCCCGCCGCGGACTCGAGGACGTCGCTAACGCGGCCAGCTCCGTGAACAGAACGAGCACACTCTCCTGGGGCCGGGTCGGGTCCTGGGGCCGGCGCCGCGGCCTCTTTCCCCTTTAAATAGGGGAATAAGTGAGGCCCCACCCTTCGGAGCGTCACGCCTTGATCGGGCCGCTCCCTGTGGCGGCACGTGTGGGGGCGGTGGAGGCTTGAGGCCGGGAATGACAGCAATGATGGAGTCGGGGAGGCGGCCCAGGCCATGCCAGGACCGGAGCCCTGGGGGCCAAAGCACCCATTCCTCCCTACTCCCGGGGGAGCGGGGTGGGGCTTTCCTTCTTCCCCCAACGCAACGCCAGCGCTCCTTAATTCTACCATGTACAAAGCCCCGGGTCTCTCTCTGCGCCTGAGCCCTCAGTCACTGGCACAAGTCTCTAAAGCCCCCTCCGCCTATTCAGTTGCTCGCAGTTAGTTTCACAATCCCACCCAGTTTCCAAACACGGCCCGTTCTGCCCAACCTTTAGTGGTCCCTGGGCCTTTGAATCGATTTTGCCCTCAATTCTCATTATAGATGACCTCTCTGTGTTGTTTGTAAGGCTGGCTTCCTAAACTTCATTCTCCCCAAACTGCTTAACTCTCAGCTGGTATCTCAGCCTAAGGAGGGACCTAGATGCCAGGACCATGGCTTTAGGAATGCTGGGAATCCTTTCCTTCCGGAGGCCTGGACACCCACACATCGTGATGGCCCCAGCAAAGCTCCCCAGCATAAGTTCTGACTCAGGGGTCTGACTTCTCCCACTGGTAAACAGGACATGGTACTCACAACCCACATTCCCCTCATGGTGCCACACCCACACACAGCTGCCTCCTCACCCTCCTCTCCTGGACCTGCAGCCCAGGTTCTGTTATGGAGGGTGATAACACAGTCTAGAGCCAGCTGGCTTGAGTTCAGATCCTAGCTTCCACCTCTTACTAGTTGTGACACTTTGAGCAAGTTACTTAATTTCTCTGGGCCTTGGTTTCCTAGTTTTAAAAATGTGGATAATAATAATGAGGACTGAATGAACTTATATGTGTAAGGTGCTTCAAATGGTGTCCAGTACACAGTAAAACACCAGGTAAGTACTATATTAGCTACTATTGTTATCCTGTGCCCCCAGCCTATACTGAATTCACATTAACTTCTGAGTACCCAACATTTTCTTTTTTTTCTTTTTTTTTTTTTTTTGAGACGGAGTCTTGCTGGGTTGCCCAGGCTGGAGTGCAGTGGCACCATCTCGGCTCACTGCAAGCTCCGCCTCCCGGGTTCATGCCATTCTCCTGCCTCAGCCTCCCGAGTAGCTGGGACTACAGGCGCCCACCACCACGCCCAGCTAATTTTTTGTATTTTTAGTAGAGACGGGGTTTCAATGTGTTAGCCAGGATGGTCTCGATCTCCTGACCTGGTGATCCGCCCGCCTCGGCCTCTCAAAGTGCTGGGATTACAGGCGTGAGCCACCGCGCCCGGCCAGTACCCAACATTTTCAACACCCATCCATCTTGACCAATATGTGCATGATGAGCTTCTCCACACCCATGGCATTTACCAGCTATCACAGGCAATGCAAAGCTGGTTTTTAAACCTAAATTGTTAAAACCTAGAGGGTAATCTCTTTTGAGGAGGTATACCATCATTTTTAAGCAAACATTTCAGAACTTTTGAATGGTATTGTCTGTGATCATGGGAGAAGCTGTCTACTTATTACAGTGATGCTGTCACAATTCAAAACTTTTTGGTCTTAAAAAAGGACTGGTAGGGCCAGGCATGGTGGCTCTTGCCTGTAATCCCAGCATTTTGGGAGGCCGAGGTGGGTGGATCACTTGAGGTCAGGAGTTCAAGACCAGCCTGGCCAAATGGTGAAACCCCATCTCTACTAAAAATACAAAAATTAGCCGGGGGTGGTGGCTCACACCTGTAGTCCCAGCTATTTGGGAGGCTGAGGCACGAGAATTGCTTGAACCTGGGAGGTGGAGGTTGCAGTGAGCCGAGATCACGCCACTGCACTCCAGACTGAGCAACAGAATGAGACTCGGTCTCAAAAAAAAAAAAAAAAGGGGGAACTGGTAGGTATCTATTGTTAATAAATACATGATGGGCCGAGTGTGGTGGCTTACGCCTGTAATCCCAGCACTTTGGGAGGCAGAGACGGGCAGATTGCCTAAGCTTAGGAGTTCACGACCAGCCTGGGCAACACAGGGAAACCCTGTCTCTACTAAAATACAAAAAATTAGCTGGGCGTGGCGGCGTGCACCTGTAGTCCCAGCTACTCAGGAGGCTGAGGTGGGAGAATTGCTTGAACCCAGGAGACAGAGATTGCAGTGAGCTGAGATCGTGCCAGTGTACTGCAGCCTGGGCGACAGGGTGAGACTCTATCTCAAAAAAAAAAAAAAAAGCTTTTAATGTGGTGGTAGATTAATGGTGGCCCCAAATTCCTTTGCAATGTGACTTTGCTGCATCTCACATCAAGAATTGGGGTCTCTTTCTCTATCCCTTGAATCTGGGCTGGTCTTGTAACTAGTTTTGACCAATAGATGTGGCAGAAGTGATGTGTGAGTTCTGGAACCTAGTCCTTCAGAGGCCTTGTAGCTTCTGCTTTTGTCCCCTTGGAACACTCCCTGAGACCACCATGTGAGGATGAGGCCACACGGAGGAGCGCCAGCCAACAACCAGACATGCTGGTGAGGCCATTTTGCATTTTCCTGCTTGGCTCACCTGCCATTTGAGTGCAGCCACGTGAGTGAGCCTAGGTGAAAACAGCAAAGGAACTCCCAGCAAGCCCATAGAATCGTGAAAAAGAACAGTTTTTAAAAGTTATTTCTACTGAGTGTGGTGGCTCACACCTGTAATCCTAGCACTATGGGAGGCCAAGATGGAAGGATAACTTGAGCTCGGGAATTTGAGATCAGCCTGGGAATCGTGGTGAGACCCCATCATTACAAAAAAAAAGAAAAAAGCCAGGCTCAGTGGTGCACATCGTCCCAGCTACTCAGTAGGCTGAGGTGGGAGGATCACTTGAGCCTCAGGACTTCGAAGCTGCACTGAGCCGTGATCATGTCAGTGCACTCCAGCCTGGGTGACAGAGCGAGACCCCCGCCTCTTAAAAATAAATAAAAAGTGGCTGGGCGCGGTGGCTCACGCCTGTAATCCCAGCACTTTGGGAGGCTGAGGCAGGCAGATCACAAGATCAGGAGATCAAGACCCTCCTGGACAACAAGGTGAAATCCCGTCTCTACTAAAAAAACAAAAATTAGCTGGGCGTGGTGGCACGTATCTGTAATCCCAGCTACTGGGGAGGCTGAGGCAGGAGAATCGCTTGAACTAGGGAGTCGGAGGTTGCAGTGAGCCAAGATCGCCACTGCACTCCAGTCTGGCGACAGAGCGAGACTCCATCTCTAAATAAATAAATAAATAAATAAATAAATAAATAGTGGCTGGGTGTGGTGGCTCACGCCTGTAATCCCAGCACTTTGGGAGGCCGAGGCAGGTGGATCACCAGGAGTTCAAGACCAGCCTGGCCAAGATGGTGAAACCCTGTCTCTACTAAAAATACAAAAAATTAGTTGAGCATGGTGGCACTCGCCTGTAGTCCCAGCTACTCAGGAGGGTGAGGCAGGAGAATCGCTTGAACCCGGGAGAGGGAGGTTGCAATGAGCTGAGATCATGCAACTGTACTCCAGCCTGAGTGACAGAGCGAGACTCCATCTCAAATAAAATAAAATAAAAATAAATAAAAAGTTATCTCAGGCCATTAACTTTGGTGGTGATTTGTTGTGTATCAATAGATAACGGATATAGAGGGTTTCCTACTGTTTTTTTTTCCCTGTATGATAAATATATTTTTTGAGACAGGAGCTTGCTCTGAGCATCAGGCTGGAGTGTAGTGGCATAATCTTGGCTCACTACAGCCTTGATCTCCCAGACTCAAGCCACCTACCTACCTCAGGCTCCGAGTAGCTGGGACTACACAGGTATGAGCTACCATGCTCAGCTAATTCTTGTATTTTTGTAGAGATGGGGTCTCCCCATGTTGTCCAGGCTGGTCTTGAACCCCTGGGCTCAAGTGATCCCACCTGCCTTGGCCTCCCAAAGTGCTTGGATTACAGGTGTGAGCCACTGCGCCCAGCCTAGATAAATATAACATTGTAATGTGCCCTGTAAGTCCCTGTGTGTTCTGAACTTACCCCTTCCTTCCTTCCTTCCTTCCAGACAGAGTCTTGCTCCGTCGCCCAGGCTGGAATGCAGTGGTGCAATCTCAGCTCATTGCAACCTCTGCCTCCTGGGCTCAAGTGATTCTCCTGCCTCAGCCTTCTGAGTAGCTGGGACTACAGGTGGGTGTCACCATGCCTGGCTAATTTTTATTTTTATTTTTATTTTTTATTTTTAGTAGAGATAGGTTTTCGCCATGTTGGCCAGGCTGGTCTCAAACTCCTGACCTCAAGTGATCCACCAGCCTCAGCCTCCCAAAGTACTGGGATTACAGGCGTGAGCCACCGCACCCAGCCATTACCCATGTCTCACTTTCTGTTCTGTTCCTCTCTAGACACTCTGGCTTTGGGTACTTTTGGCTTGTATGTTCTTTTCTGCCACAGGCCTTAGCATATGCTCTTAACCCTCTTGCTTAACCCTTATTAACACCTATTCATGCTTCAGCTCTCAGCGTAACCTCACCATGTCAAATAACCACTACAGACTCAGTAATACCATGTGCTTTCCTCTGGACTTTGGACAAGAAGTTTGTATTTATTTGGTGGTTCTGTGATTGTCTCTCTCCTCAGCAAGATATATGAAGGTTCTGAGTCTGGTTTTGTTCACCCTTGTATCCCTGTGCTATACCATAATAGGACTCAATAGACAAATACTTGCTAAATTAATGAATGAGGTGGGTGATAAATATGGCAAATGTCCATATACAAAGGAGGCGTGACAATAAAGGAAGGCTTTTTTTTTTGTTTTTTTTTTTTTAAATCAAGGCGTTTCCAAACTCTCTCTGAAGGTAATTCTAGGAGGAATGGTGTTTGTTTGTTTTTAATATTTTGAGCAATGGGACAGGTTCATTAAAATAAGTGTATAACCCTCTAAGATAACTATTTAAGGAGAATCCTATTTGGGATTGATAAATTCTCGTATGTTACAGAATAACTAATCATAGTTTAGTAATATATTTTACTTCTTTGTTTCCTCCACAGTCTTGCAAAATGAGTGGGAGATGATGGGGTGGATTTAAGTATTAATTAGTTGATGCAGTTGGCTGCTAATCCAGTAAATGGCATGCTGCTGACTTTTCTCTTTTGGAAATTGGTTTTACTTTGCTTGCCCAGCTTTTGGATCAAGGCGGGATGAGGACGGGTAGAAGGGAGATGGGCAGGTTGTATTTAAGGAAGGCAGAGCTCATCCTCCTCTACCTTGTGATCTTTAAGGTTGTAACTTTCCACCCAATTCTGTTCCAGTGAAATGATAACATCTTTCCTTCTCTCTGTATTCCCTCAACCTCAGACCATTCTTCACTTTACCTCTCCACCAAATCACAAAGCCTCAACCTCAGAACAGCATCTCCCCCTCAGCCACAGGTTCCTTGGCATATGTGTGGGTGTCCAGCGAGAGAGAAATGAGAAGTACAAGGAACAAGTATGGCTAATATTACTTTAAATACAAACAAATAAAGGCAGATAGCTAAGTCTTTCATAGAAAGAGGAGGAACAAAATTATGAAGCCAGATTTCTGGGTTCTAAGGAATGTGGTAGCTGAAGGAAGAAAACTGGGGCCTGGGGTATCTGGTGTCTTGGTCCTTGATGAGAACAGTGACTAGGAGCCCGATGCCTGGGTCACCAAGGTGAATGAGCAATGGAGAGAAAGCTAATGCTAGCAGATTTCTAATGTTAGGGGGCGAGAGGGCCAGACAAGTGAGACTGTGACCCTAACCTCCCAAGCCCCTGCAACTTTAGACACTGTGAGGATCAAGCTGAGGTTTATTTACAGTTACCTGGGAAGTCTTACAGAGAAGGGGCCATCATTATTGCTTTAGGTTTATTGCCAGGAGGAAGACTGCAGTTCCCCACTGCCAGGTAGGAGGCCCTGCTCAAGGCTCAAAAGTCTATACCCAGACGTTTTATTTATTTATTTTTTTTAAATCAAGGCGTCCCTGCCCGTGACGGAAAGGCTGTCACTAATTCCTGCCAAGAACAGCCCAACTGTTTTCCAAGGACCACCCCGGCCACTTTCACCAGACTGCAGCGTAGATGTGCTATTACATTTCCCTCTACCTTTGTCAGTGCTGTGCCACTGTAGACCCCACCCTGACCGCCCTCCTCCACCTCTGGGCTGGGAGGCAGGGTCCTGGTTTCCCAAAGATTATCATTTACTTCCTGCCAGGACCAGCCTGGCTTCCTTCGTACCGAATACGCTAAGAGCCCCATTTCCTATGTTCCAGATGACATCACAACTCACTCACTAGGTTATTACCCTTTGATGACATTTCAAGGGCCCCTTTTGAGGTACACTGTATGTTTCTTGTATGTGCTGGGTTTTTGTTTTTGTTTTCTTTTCTGGGCCTCGGGAATAAGGGGAGGAGAGTAGGGAGCGAGACGAAGTGGCAGAGAGCCGACGGCGAGTAGCTCATGCCCGGGATTTGCAAGAAGGGCCTAGAAAGACGCAGCAGGGGGCGGGCGTGCTACTTTCTCTCTCGACCCCACTGCAAAAGGATATGGCTTTGTTCATGCGTATCACTACTCGAAGCCGGGACTCGTTGGTGGGCGGGGCTAGTCTGGCTCCGGCCGCTGCGTGGAGGGATCCGGAGCGGGAGAGGCGGCTGCGAGGAGCGGGGCTCGGGCGGGTGCAGCGACACCGGGTTGGGTCCCTGCGCCCGCGACAGACTACTTCTTGGAATGCGGCTTGTTTCCCAGGAGCCCGTCTATTTCCATCACTGTCTGCGGGGTCAGCTGGCTCAGCACCTGGAGGAGAGTGGGACGGTGGCGACGGCAGCCCATGCTGGGTCACTGAGAAAGGGCATGGGGTTCCAGTAGCCGGGGAAGCACCACAGTGGGGTCAAGTGGCAAGGCAAGAGCCGCAGCTGTGCCGGTGCCTCGCTTTCCGGCCCTGGGACCTCTCACCTGCAAAGTGAGGACTTTGTAGTGGGTGACCTGATAGAGCCATCCTGGGTTGGATAGCGTGGCTTTGACTCCTGGGGAGGGGGACAGATAGGCTCTGCCTCTGAGTCCCCGGCTCACCTGTAGCGCGCCCAGGTGTTCTATCAACTGCTCCGCACTCGACACCCCCAGCAAGACAGAGCTGACACCCTCACTGCGGAGACACCACGCTGGGGCCAGAGGAGGAAAAAAAGAGGACTGATGGGGAACAGTGACCACATAGATTTCAGAAGTGTCTCTGAAGACAAGCGTCCTCCCTAGGGACAAACCAGTTTTAGGATGGGCTTGGGAGCATGTCAGGAGGAGACAGGGCCCCTGCAGGGTGCAATGTCTCACCAATAGCAAGCTGGGCCACGGTGCAGCCCAGCTGGTGAGCGACAGGAAGAAGGTCCATGACTTTGGCTTGTTGCTTCTTGCCATCTTCACTCTGCACTTTGTCCTTGAGCCACTGGTAGCCCTGGAGGCCAAGAAGAATCAACAGAAGACCCCGCCATCACCACCACCACCACCACACTCACAAAGCAGCCCCCCGTAACTCCCCCCAAAGCAGCCCATATAGCCCAGTCCTGCCATCGAGAGCCCCCAGATCTCACCTTGATGGAGGCCCTGCAAGTATCTGGGACTCGCCCATCATACTTGCTAGTAATGAGACCACAGGCTAGAGGGTACCAAGTGACTGATCCAACTCCTAAGGGAAGAACACTGGGTGTCAGGAAAAGGACCTAGCCATGGATGAGGCTAAGGTAAAGGCAGGGATGAGGGCTGCAAACCAATCTTGTGGTAGAGCTCTGGCAGCTGCATCTCCACCTTCTCCCTCTGAAACAGATGGTGCTCCGCTTGTTCACACACTGGAGGAATCAGATTGAACTGTCTGGCCATGGAGTAGGCCTCCTGGGTTGGGGTTGGGGAAAAGAAAGTGGTCAGAGCACTACTTCCGTTTTCTTCTCTGCCTTCTCCCCCAGTGCAGTGGGCTTTGGAGTAACCACGTGAAAAGTGGGAACCAGTTGTGGGACAGGGGCAAGGTGGGGTCACACACTCACCATGATTTCTGCAGCCCCCCATCGGGATGTCCCCCAGTATAGGGCCAGGCCCTGGTTGATGACATAGGTCATGGCTCGCACAATCTCTAGGTACACAGGAGAGGGAAAGCCTTACTGTCAGAGCCCTGGAATCTAAGACTCCAGATTTGCAGACCTCCACCTGCCCCACCAAGGCCCCAGGCAACTCTATGGAGTCATGAAAGTTAATATCTACTCTTTGCCTCTCTTCCTGTCCACATCCTGGAGTCTCAGCCTCCACTGTGGAGTTTTGGAGGCCTTCTGAGCAGGGGCTGGCTTCCTGCTGAGGGTTTGAGGAAGTGCTCAATTTTTGTATTTTAGATTTTTTGAGACAGGGTCTCACTCTGTCACTCAGGATGTAGTTCAGTGGTGCAATCATAGCTCACTGTGGCCTCAAACTCCTGGGCTTGAATGATCCTCCTGCCTCAGCCTCCTGAACAGCTGGGAGTACAAGGCACACACCACCACAGCCAGCTAATTTTAAAACATTTTTTGTAGAGACAGGGTCTTGCTATGTTGCCCAGACTGTTCTCGAACTCCAGGCCCCAAGTGATCCTCCTGCCTTGGCCTCCCAACGTCCTGGGATTACAGGAATGAGCCACCGCACCCAGCAAGGAAGTGCTCAGTTTTGAAGGACTGTAAGGTTTGGGGGTGCTGCTTTTACCCTCCATAGGACAGTTGGGGTCTGAGCGATTGGCAAAGACAATGTCCACGTATCCCAGCTGGAGGCGTTCCAGGGATCCTCGCAAGCCTGGAGGTGGGGTAGGGAGAAGAAAATAAGCACCTCAGCTTCAGTGTACTAAGAATGCAGGCCACCAGGCGTGGTGGCTCATGCCTGTAATCCCAGCACTTTGGGAGGCCGAGGTGGGCGGATCACCTGAGGTCAGGAGTTTGAGACCAGCCTGGCTAACGTGGTGAAACCCCATTTCTACTAAAAATACAAAAAATTAGCCAGGCGTGGTGGCGTGTGCCTGTAATCCCAGTTACTCGAGACGCTGAGGTAGGAGAATCCCTTGAACCCGGGAGGAGGAGGTTGCAGTGAGCCGAGATCGTGCCATTACACTCCAGCCTGGACAACAAGAGTGAAACTCCGTCTCAAAAAAAAAAAAAAAAAAAAAAGAATTCAGACCTTGCCCCCTTGCCATGGCCACCTAAATCCCTATTCAAAGCCTCCAGAAGTTCAGAGAATGTTCCCTACTCCTCTGGCTTCCATATCCCCTCACTTTGGGTTTCCAGCCCCTAACTCTCACCCTCAATGATGTGCTTTCGGCTTAAACCTCGCTCGGTTTCTGCCCTGTAGGAAAAGGTAAGTCAAAGATGAGATGTGACAAAGATAGGGGACCGGGGCTGGCTTGGAGCCATAAGGAAATGGGATTGCACGAGTCTTCACAGGCATGGTGCGGACCTGGTGCAGGATAGCTGTCCCCACCCCCACCCCATACACCTTCACACATTCTTTGTAGGCCTTCTCCACAATCGCAGTGGGGCAGCCACTTACTGTCCTCCCCAAAAAATCTTGGTAGTGATGACATAGCTTGATCTCCTGGAAGAATAGAAATGGGAGAACCAGTAAGAAAAGGATTTTTGGGTGATCACATCCCCAGCAACCCCCCAAAACAGTCTCACCTCCAACCTTTGCTCTTGAGGATGTTCCCTAGGGTTCTTTCAGCCCTAAAAGAAACATAAGGCAGAGCCACTGATCCCTTCTAGGCCAATCAATTCCTTCCTCTCCTCCCCACCTTTTCCTCTCTTGCAAAGTAGGATATAAACCAGGAGTCCATTTCAGCTCACAGCCCCATCCTGGACAAAATAAGAGGTCTGTTGGAAGGAACTAGGGGTGTAGTTGTATAGTTTTCATCACATATTCAACAAATATCTGTTGTGCATTAGCTGTGTACCAAGCCCTGCTGTGGGTGCCAAAAAGATAGAATAGGATGAGGGGAGAGGGGCCAACTATGGTGGAGCCAGGAAGGACACTGCCTTGTCTGGCTTCAACTATCTGGGTTGCCCTCCTCCTTCTTTGAGCCTCTGCAAAATCCCACCCGTCCTCCAAAGCTCAGCTCAAATTCTGCCTCATCCATAATGTGTTCTCTGAGTGCCACAATCTATGGTCCAGCCTTCTGGTCAGCTTCCACAGAATTGGCTACATAATTTAGCATAAAATTATGAGCTCACTTATGACAAGTCTTAAGTTGTCATGGTGGACTGTTACTGAAATGTTTTACCGTTGTTTAATCTTTCCTATTGCCCTTTTTTTTTCCTTTAACCACTTAGACTGTGTGCACTTTCGCAGACATGTTGATTCTTCCCAGAAGCAGCACCTGCTCTGTGCCAGGCTCTGTGTGGGTACTTGGGGAAGAGCAAGACAAGTTCCATGGAAGGAGGCCTCTGACTTGAGCAGCTAATATAGCTGCATAAACCACGAATTGCGTGTCAGAAGGCAGTCCACAGTGCTTTAGGAGCTCATGGTGGGGGAGGGGGTGACCAACTCTGGGGAGTTGGGCAAAGTTCTTGAAGGAGCGGACACTCGGGTCAAGTCTTGAAGATGAGCAGAAGTGTTTGCTAGATGGGGAAGAGGCAGGGTAGGTCATCCTAGGTTTTCCCTGCTCCTAGTGTGAAACGGCATGATGTGTTTGAAAATTCATCTTTGTAGTTGCACATAACTAATGCCTCAGATATATTTGTTGCCTTTATTTAATGTAGCTGCACAGTACGCCCATTGACTTCTAAGCCAGAGAGGGACTAATGTTGGGACTGTAGCTCCTACAGTGCTTTCGGGTCCCTCCGCCAAAAGGTTGGAACTTCACGTTCTCAGAAGTCCCAGGGTTCTTTAGAGGGAAAACGAGAAGATAATCCCTGGGGTCCTCTCAGCCTTCCAAATGGAGCTTAGCTCTTTCACCCCAGTCCTTACTTTCCTGCTGCGTACACTTCGGCGGTGTCAAACAGGTTTACACCATGCTCATAGGCTACAGTCAGCACATCCTCTGCTGTCTAGGGAGGTGAAAGAGGTAAAGATCAACTACTGCTCCTCAGTTACCTCCCTCACTGTACTCTAACCCATCACATCTCAGCCCTGGGTTCTCTAGTCTCTCCCCTCTCCCCATCCTCCAGCCTCAGATCCCTCATTCCCTGTGCTTGTTGTCCAAACCCCTATCCAGGTTCACTTCCCTTTTTTCAAGTTCCCTCACCCCCACCACCCTGATTCTAGGTCCGATAACTTATACCTCATCTGAGATCTGAGAACCAAATGTGACCCAGGTACCTGCAAGAGAGAAGCCAGGCACATGAGAACTGCAGGGGGCAGACCATGAAAGAATGCCCTCCTTTCCTTAATCCCTATTCTGACTCACCTAGGCCAAGACAGGATACCCGAAGACCAGACTTCCCTAGGTTCCTGCAAGATACAGAAGCAGCGGGAAGGGGTGGAGCCTCCATTATGGACTTAGATTATCAGCCCCCAGCTCCTCTCCTTCCAGACTGAGAAGCCCTCAGGTGTCTCAGTCCAAAGAAATTAGACCCAGTGGGCCTATAAGATTGGGCAAGTGCTATCTCCAGAGCAGAGGTCCTAGGAATTTTCTCAAAAGGACAAGTGAACCATATGTGACTGTTCCTCTGGAGCCACTGTCCAGAGTCTCCATTCCCTCTTATCACATTGAAGACGTGCAGTCTGGTTTGTCCTTCTTCTGGGGTCTTGTCTGTGTTTGAGTCATCTGTGGGTTGTGTGCAGTGAGGGGCTGGGAGGAATTTTGTTTGATTGTGGTGAGTTTGTGAGACCAGGCCCTCAGGCAGAGTGCTGTGCCAAATGGTAGATGGCAGGTTGGAAGAGGTAAACCAAGTCAAGTTCAGGCATTCAGACAGACAGGGGTCCCTGGCTAGGCTAGGCAGATGGGCCTGGAGGAAAGGCAGATTGAGGACCTGGGGGGAGGGGGGAGAGTAAGACAGAAAAGCCTAGTTCTCCCTCTCCACTCCCTCTGTTCCTATTGACTTGTGAAGACTGTCTCTGAACCAGTGAGCCCCCTCATCCTCCCAAAGCCCCCAACCCAGGTGTCAGCTCAGCTTTCCAATCAGGGCCACCATATAGAGGGGATCAGATTCCTCAGGTGACAAAGCAGGTCAGATCAGTGACCTCAGCTCACTCCCAAGCAGGAGCCCCTCCTCTACCCCCTACTTCAGGTTCTGAGCTTCTGGTCTGGCAGTCCTCTGAGATAAAGTCAGTTACATTTCAGTCTACCCAGACCCTGTCCCTCAGCATGGAGATGAAAAATGTGGTCCATCCTTCCCACCGGCCCCACTCCCCTTGCACCCAAGAAAGGTCGCAGAAGACCTAGCCTTTGGGGCAGGCAGGGGCAGTATCTGGGTCAGGCACCCCGAGCAGGCCAGAGTGAGAAGCTGATTCCCTCCCTCCACTCCCCAGGACACGGACCCAAGGACACTCCACTGGAGGAGGCATAGCCTGGAGATCCGTGTAGCGTGGAGATCCATGCATCCCTGACCTTCCCAGGGGTAAGGAGGGAAGCTCAGGGGCATCCCCTGGGTCTGACAGGACCCAGTCAACCTTGGTAAACTTGATTCTCGTAGTCAGGGGTATCGACAGAAACCAAGAGAGGGACAAAGTGAGGGAGTGCCAGAGACAGAAAGAAGAGATGGAAAGAAGGGAGACCTACTTAGTGAAGTTTGAAGGGGTCTTGGCGGCCATCTCAAGCAGTCTCAGGGGTCCCGAAAGGAAAGCGGAAGGGGTGGGCTGCCCGGCCACCCCCATACCTGTATTTCATGCCAGTGCCTCGGCCGGTGCTCTCTCGGAGGGCCCCAGCGGGCGCTGGGGGTCGGGGAACCAGTGCAGCTCGGGCCTTGGGGCCAGACCCTCCACCCCCCGGAGGATTCCCGTGCCCCCCGCCGGCCGGCCCACCATTACCGCCCCCGGGGCCCGGCCGGGGTCCACACAGACGGTCCTCACTGCTCCGGCTGCGAAGGTTCTGCTCGGTACACGCGATAGACACCTGCATGCTGGCTGGCCGAGGCGGGGGAGGGGGCTCCGAGGGGACGGGAGGGGGGAGCAGGGAAGCCCGAGGGCTGACGACCGGGGGCGTAGTGGGGCGAACCCCGGCAGAGCGGGAAGGCTGAGGAGGCTGCGGCGGGAGCCGCCAGGCAGGATCGGGCCCGCGGGGGCGGGCTGCTGGAGGTCGCGAGGTTTGCGGCGGGAGGGAAGAAACGTGGGGGGCGCCAGGAGTGGAGATATTCAGTTACGGGGGACACAGGAGCAAGGATTAGGAGGGGGAAATGGATGAGGGTAAAGGTCGAGGATGAGGTAAAGGTCTCGGAGGATAAGGACCCAGGGGGAAGCGGGGCGGGAGAGAGATGCCACTTCAGCGCGAACCGCTGCGGGACCCGCTGGGCTCCCAGCCGCGTCGGCAGCGGGCCCAGCTCATCAGCATGCAGGCACCGCCTCCTCATCTGCATAGAGCCGCCCTCCTCTCAGCCAAACCTGCCGCTCATCTGCATAAGCCCCGCCTGCTGAAGGCTCTGCAGCTTGAATATTTTCTGAGCGGAATTGGGGAGGATGGCTCCTGCACCCTCTGGGACCCAAGGGCTGTCAGGCTTCCCCCGGCCCAGTGATTCTCAATCGGGAGGGAATGTATCTCCCAGCGTACTTTCGGCAAGGTTTGGAGATATTTTTGATTTCATGCCTGTGCTATCAGCATCTAGTGGGTGGTGGCCAGGGATGCTAAAATCCTACAAAGCACAGGACGGTCCCCACAATAAAGAATTATCCAGCTCAAAGCATCAATATTCCCACGGTTGAGAAACCCATCCGCAAAGCCACTTCGTGGCCCTCCAGGGGGTGTGGCTGCCCTACTTTCCACCTTCATGCGTGGGGCAGGACTGAGAGGGCCCTCAAACCAACACGCTCAGGCCGCAGAGAGTGACAAAAAGTTTATTCTGTGCTTCTCGCAGCATTAGGCAGGGGATAAAACTGGAGAGAGGGCCTGGTGTGGAGGTGGAGGGACTCTGTGGGCTTCACTCTGGTAGGAGGAGAGCATCAGGGCAGGCCTTTAGGCTGTTGCTCTGGGCAGGGGGTGGGGGTGCGGGGGCTTACAGTGGGGGCCCTTAGTTGGCACAGGTTCGGAAGGGCCCCAGGCAGACATGAATTCTCCTGAGACTTGAGGTAGGTTGCTTCAGCCAGCCCGGGCGGAGAAGAAGGGCAGAGAGCGAACATAGGAGTCCAGTCGGGAGCGAAAGAGCTCACTTTGCACAGTTTGGCCCAGCGGGCACAGGGGATTCTTCACCACCAGCTCCACATACAGCTATGGAAAGGGAAGATGTTAGAGCCAGGCTTTGGATACTTCTGGTTTTTAGCCCCAAACCTTGTATAACCTCAGGGGTGTGTGAATGCACAAGGAATAAGGGCTGGAAGGCAAGCCCTCTCTGAGGAGAAAGTGGTGGTGGGAGTTAAGAACCTAAGGGCCCCTGAGAAAACTCTTGAGTTGAGCAAACATATAGTAGGATTGGGGCAGGGGAGATGAGGGAGTCTTGGGGTTCTGAAGAGCTCTGGGGGATGGGTCCCTGGGGCTGGCACTGACCGCACTGTAGATGTGGTGCAGCACATCTCGGATGGGTCCCACGCCCAAGTCAGTATTCATGACAACTTTGATCCCAGTGGGCGTCTCGTAGTAATGGAGTTTGTAACGGCTAGTTTGGAAGGCCAGGAAGCCATCCTTCCTGCAGAGATGAGGAGGGTGTTAAAGAATGGGAGCAGAATCTCTCCCAAAGAGACACTTCTGATCCCCGCAAACATCGACTCCCTCTTTATCTAAACATATCCTTTGTAGAAGCCTGGTTGAGTAAAGACATCGCCCATCGTCACCCCTCAATTTAGCCCCCACCAACTTCTCTACTTTCAGACCCTCCCCACCCCCACTCCTGCCAGCTCCAGCACTCTCGCTCCGGACTCAGCCTCTCTTAAGTACCCTTTCCCCCCTCTGGAGGCCAATGCTCCTTCCACTTCAGAAAGTTTCCCCCATCCCCAAATTCCCAAGGCTAGCCCTCCTCCCAACATCTTCTCTGACTCCGCGTACATGTCTAGCGGGGACATCTTGCTGACAAACGAGCGGATAGAGAAGAGCATCCCGTACATCAGCTTATACTCCTGGAGGGAGAGGGGCAGAGTTAGCTCTCGGTTGATGCGGGAGATGGGGTGGGGGGTGGGAACGAGCTGGGGTTTGGAGAGGAGGGGCTGGGTTGGGACTATAGGTGTTTGGAGATGAGAGGTCGCCCGGGCTGCACCGGGGCCCTCTCGTCACCTCCTCCTTGGGAATCCCTGCTTGCTTCTTGCGGTGCCATTCGCTGTAGTGCAGACACACTCCATTCCGGTCAAACAGGTACAGGTTGTGGACAGTCATCTGCAGGGCAGGGAGTGTGAGCCTCGCTCCGGGGCCGCCCCCACTCCTTGGGCTCGGGTTCCCGGACCCACAGCCTTCCAACCAGGTGGGGACCCCACCCACGGACTCACCGGAACTGCTCCGAGTGCCCGTCAAGAGTTACTTCCGGTTTCCACGGAGCTCCGCCCCTTAGGGGGGTTCTCGCTCGGCCGCGGCTGGGCATTAACTCCGCTCCAGTGCTGCTTGTCAGACTCCGCCTCCCTCCCTCAGCCAATCTGTGGCCACCGGAGCCGCGCACGCGCGGCCAGGCGCTCGGGATACAGAAGTGATGTGAGTGTCTGCGAGCGTGGTCTCGCGGGCGGGTGACGTCATCGAGGCGAGAGAGGCGGAGCCGTGGACAGTGGGCGGGAGGCTGCCAACGGTTTTGAGCGTAGGGGGAGGCGTGAGAGGGGGATCTCAGGGGAGGAGGTCAATCGCTTGCCCCCCACTTTGGCAAATTGGGGACTGAGGACTGGAAGGGTGGAGAGTAGGCGGAACCAGGTGGTCGTCGGGGCAGAGGATCTCGGGCTAGGCTTGAGGGCGGCGTGCTTCTTAGGGACGACTTAGGGCGTGACTGAGGGTTCACAAGGTTTCTTTTGGGGTGGTCGGGAGGGAGAGATTCTAGGGAACAAGGAAGCTCGCTATGGCTTTCTTGCCAGGAGGGGTCGAAGGGAAAGTACAAGGGAGCTGGAGCTGACCCTGGGTAGAACGGGTGAAGGGATGGGGGAGCGTGAGGTTCCGCCCTCTCTTGAGACTGGAACCAATTGAGGGACTAGTAGGGCAGGGGGACAGAAATTGGGCTCCTAGTGGATTTGGGTCCGTTTCCGTTGGGACGTTTTGGGTGTGAGAACTTAAGAGCTCAGTTGACCGGGGATAGCCTGTGCCGGAGTTGATCTGCAGCTTCCAGCACTCGTAGTCGGGAAGAGGAGCTTCAGCAGCGCTGTTGTCCCACAGTAGGTCTTCTGTCCGCACCCGCTCTGCGCTGCACCCTCTTAACGCTGTTCCCAGGAGCTGGGGAAAGGGATGCTTTTGCCCACTCCCATGGCCCCTGGAACTGGTGGAAACCTTTCCTCTAACCAGAAAGCCTCGATATCCTTAATTCACCAAGGATCCTTGGCGTGGAGTCTTCCTCCCTTCTCCCAAGTCTTTCTCCGTGAACTTTTCCTCCTGGACTTTGCTAAAGCAGAACCTCCCAGCTCTTTGCTGTCTCCGGTTGTCTCTTCCCTGTATTCATGGCAACATCAGCTGACAGCCCCAGTTCACCCCTCGGGGCGGAGGATCTCCTGAGTGATTCATCAGAACCCCCTGGGCTCAACCAAGTGTCGTCTGAAGTGACCTCCCAGCTCTATGCTTCTTTGCGCCTCAGCCGGCAGGCGGAGGCCACGGCCCGAGCCCAGCTGTATTTACCCTCCACCTCCCCGCCTCATGAAGGGTTAGACGGCTTCGCCCAAGAATTGAGTCGAAGCTTGTCAGTCGGATTGGAAAAGAACTTGAAGAAAAAGGTGAGGGAAGTGTGTCTTGGAGACCACTGTGGCACTAGACACCAGAGAGTCTTGGGATTGGGGTTGGTAAAAATAAAAAGCTTTGATGAGATTTGAACTCTTCCTGTTGGATTTCATATTCCTTTTAACTGCATAGGCAGCCATGCTTATAAGGGAGGGAGTGACCTGGGACACCATAATTTGAAAATTATGAAACTTCCCAGTGTTTTTTTGTGAGAGACATCTCTGCTCCGAGTAGATAGAGCAAACCTATGGGGTAGGTTGGTGAGCTATTTCCCGTGCACTGGGAATGGGTAAGGTTTCTTGATCCCAAGAGGGAGCTAGGGACTTAGGATAGCAGCTCCGATCCTTCCAGCTCAACACTATGTTGATAGTATGGTTCCAACTTTGGCATGTACATCATTAAGACATAGCTTAGTCAACTACAACATGTTACAGAGAAGATAGTTATTAGTATTGTATAGAAAAGGTGTCAGAGTCAATTTGCAGACTGGTTAGGTCTTCCAGAGTTTGAAAATGATAGCCATAAGCCATACAGTCCTTACATTTGTTCTTGAATCGGCAAGAATCTCCGCAACTCTTGTCTTATACCTCCTCGATTATTTTATTTACACTCTCTTTCTGGCTTCTGTAGTATTTGAATTTCTGATTCAAGTTTAGGACATCCCTTATTGGATCCGTTTGGTTTTTCTTGTTTTCCAAAGTGCTGGAGTGAAAATTCTACCCTGGCAATAGGTAGGAGATAGATAACACAGACTGCATCTGATTTCCATGTGGCTTTTTTCCAGGATGGTTCTAAGCATATCTTTGAGATGGAAAGTGTTCGGGGTCAGCTCCAGACCATGCTCCAAACCTCACGTGATACAGCCTATCGTGAGTAAGCCCCTTCCCTAGAACTATGAAGGAGAACCTAGATGTAAGGGGTGGGAGAAAGTGGACAGAGGAAGCAGGCAGGAAAACCTCTGAGCAAGAGATTTCAGGAGAAAAGTCTCCCGTTCTTTGGGAGAGGGGGTGAAGGAGTGAGGGAACTGGAAAGGAAGGCCTTTTCTCTTCAGGTGGCCCCTGTTTTTGTCATTACCTGACTCTGGCTTTGGGGTCCCTCTGGCTGCCTGCAGGGGATCCTCTCATTCCTGGCGCTGGCTCAGAGAGACGGGAAGAGGACTCCTTTGACAGTGATAGCACAGCCACCTTGCTCAAGTGAGTTCTCCTTGTGGTTCTCCTAGCTTGTTTGCTTTCTTGGAAATCCAGGTGTTTTGTTCCTTATTTCTCCCTTTATTGCTTTTGTACCTCTTAAGAACCCAAGAGGCTTATCACTTGCCTTTCAGTTTTCATCTTTTTCTACTGTCTCCTGCCCCCTTTACTCCTTCAGGAACACAGGTATCTGTTGCCTAGTACCTGGCTTTCTCTTAACCTGCAGTCATTCTTCCCCTCTAAAGAGTTAGCTTGTTTCTGCTGAAACCTTTAAGTGAATCACAGACCTGTGTGTTATTTATAGCACTATGGTTATATAGCTTTACGACTTTGGACAAGTCTCTTGCCCTCTCTGGGTCTCAGTTTCCTCATTTGTAGAATATCACAGTTGGACAAGTGGATTCCAAAAGCTTTCCCAGCCCTAACATTCTCTACCTGATTTGCTCAGCACCCGGCCCCTGCAAGACTTGTCTCCATCTAGCTCAGCCCAAGCCCTGGAGGAGCTGTTTCCCCGCTACACCAGCCTTCGGCCAGGGCCTCCACTCAATCCCCCAGATTTTCAGGGGCTGAGAGATGCATTGGATTCAGAGCATACCCGCCGCAAGGTAAGATGCAAACGCTTCCTTTCGAAAGCAGCAAAGATTAGAAAGAGGGGACCCAAGTGTTGAAAAGGGCTGAGGGGGCCTGGCGTGGTGGCTCACGCCTGTAATCACAGCACTTTGGGAGGCTGAGGCAGGCGGATCACGAGGTCAGGAGATCGAGACCATCCTGGCTAACACGGTGAAACCCGTCTCTACTAAAAATAGAAAAAATTAGCCGGGCATGGTGGTGGGTGCCTGTAGTCCCAGCTACTCGGGAGGCTGAGGCAGGAGAATGGCGTGAACCTGGGAGGCGGAGCTTGCAGTGAGCCGAGATCATGCCGCTGCACTCCAGCCTGGGCGACAGAGCGAGACTCCGTCTCAAAAAAAAAAAACTAAAAAAGAAAAGGGCTGAGGGTTAAGAGCCTGAAAGCTGGGACTTAAATGTTTTTCTGAGGAGGGCTTTTTTGACCATTCCATCTAATATGGCACCACCTCCTTTCCAAGTAGTCAGATCGCCTTCTTATTTCTTTCATGTAGCTTATCGTTCTGATATATCTTGTTTTTTTCTCCTCTCTAAAATTTGAGGGTCCGTATCTTGTTTGTCTTAGTACTGGCTGCCTAAGGTCTAGAATATACATAACACAGAAACACTCTGTGTTTGTCGAATGGACACAAACTCTGCTAGCTTGTGCACAGGATTTACAGCTACTGGTGATATACTGAGCTTTATCTCTGTGAGCCTCTGCCTTAGTGTCTGAAGGGGACAGAGAAATAGACAAAGGAGAGGAAAAGTCAAAATCACTGGTTGCCATTTTTGGAAGCCTCTCTTTCTCCATGTTAAACCCCTTGGCATGAATGAAAGGCTTTCCCCTTTATCCTTGCTGTGTTTATTCATTGTGTCCAATGAGCTTCTGAAGGTAGGAGTAACTTTGCACATTTTGCTGTGTGGGCTGCTGCATCTCTGCCAAAAGGTTTATGGGATTTTTACTCAGGAGATCCAGGAAAAGGAGGAGCCTGGAATCTAAGCACTTATCTCCTGAAAAGGTACAGAAACATGTTGGAGATCTTGAGCCTCAAGGTGCTTGCTTCAGAATTTTCCTGATTCTCCCTCTCCAGACCTATTCTGTTCTTGGGACCCAAGCTTCTTGGCTCCAGCCCACTCCCCCACTAGAGGAGCTGGAAAGTTTGGTGCTGTGGTCATACCAAAGATGGGCAACACCCAGACTCCTCACCCTTTTCCCCAGCATTGTGAGCGCCATATTCAGAGCCTGCAGACCCGAGTGTTAGAGCTACAGCAACAATTAGCCGTGGCTGTGGCTGCCGACCGCAAGAAAGATACCATGATTGAACAACTGGACAAGGTACCAGGGTAGCAAAATGTGGGTGGGTCTCTCCATGAAGAGCATTAAGGAATAATAAATAAGTGGGTGGCCAACCAATGTTTCTTGGTACATGCTGAGAGCTGGGCAAGGGGTTGGTTTGCTGACTGTTGGGAGAAGATGGCTGTTGACCCTGCCCCTGTGGGTAGAAAGAGGCAAAAAAGTTATTTTGAAATTTCATCTTACTTGCCCTACCTAAGACCCTGGCCCGTGTGGTGGAGGGCTGGAACCGGCATGAGGCTGAGCGGACAGAGGTTCTCAGGGGACTTCAAGAGGAACACCAGGCAGCAGAGCTCACCAGAAGCAAGCAGCAGGAGGTGAGCGCCCTGGAGCATATGGCATTAGAACCTGAGTCACAGATCTCAAGATGGAAAGGGGCAGAAATAGCTCTGGAATTAGGGTTTCCAACAGATTGACCTCAGTCTTGTAGTGGCTGTCCTGACATTTCTTCTCATCCCTCCTTTCTTCTCCTTTAACCGTTTCTGCTGTCCAACTTGAATCATCAATGTCTTAATTTTTCCCACACCATGTAGTCTTCTATCTGGCCCCTTAGTCATTTAGTTAACTGTGAAGTTTCAAGTTTACATTGTCAATGCTTTATAAAATATAGCACACACAGATTTCCCACAGTTCCTCTGCCCTGTATTCCTCTCTTCCTGAAAGACAGTAACCCGCCTGGAACAAAGCCTTTCTGAGGCCATGGAGGCCCTGAATCGTGAGCAGGAAAGTGCCAGACTGCAGCAACGGGAAAGAGAGACACTGGTGAGAAGATTGGACTGGGTTAATTCCACTGGAAGCTGTTAATTACTTCTAGAGAGCTGTGGGCTATTGGTGGATTGTGGGAGATTATAATTTGAGTTGCACCAGAGCACTGTTTCCCAAAGTGTGTTCCTTAGAACACTAATTCAGCTAGATATTCTATTAAAAAAAAAGGCTCTGCTACCAAGTCGGTTTGAGAAACTCTGCAAATTGTATCATCATTAGAATATTAGTGTCATCTGAAGAATTATTTTAAAATATAGGCTAGGCACGGTGGCTCACCCCTGTAATCCCAGCACTTTGGGAGGCCAAGGCAGGCAGATCATGAGGTCAGGAGTTTGAGACCAGCCTGGCCAGCATGGTGAAACCCCGTCTCTACTAAAAATACAAAAAACTAGCTGGACATGGTGGTGCATGCCTGTAGTCCCAGCGACTTGGGAGGCTGAGGCAGGAGAATTGCTTGAACCCAGCAGGCAGAGGTTGCAGTGAGCTGAGATCAAGCCACTGCACTCCAGCCTGGGTGACAGAGTGAGACTCCATCTCAAAAAATAAAAATAAAAAATAAAATAAAATAAAGATTTCTGGGACTCACCTGCAGAGGTTTTGATTCAGTAGATATATGGTGGAACTCAAATCTTTTCAGAAATTTCCTGGGTGATTTTTTTCAATCTGGTTTGGGACCTCTGGTGTAGGGCATGGCCAAAAAAGGTATGAAATTGACTAACTCAAGTTTCTTTTCGTGTTTTTTTTTTTTTTTTTTTGAGACAGGGTCGCGCTCTGTTGTCCAGGCTGGAGTGCAGTGGCACAATCTCAGCTCACTGCAGCCTCTGCCCCCTGGATTCTAGCGATTCTCCCACCTTAGCCTCCCAAGTAGCTGGGACTACAGGCGTATACCACCACGCCTAGCTAATTTTTGTATTTTTTTGGTAGAGACGGGGTTTCGCCATGTTGGCCAGGCTGGTCTCAAACTCCTGACCTCAAGTGATCTGCCCGCCTTGGCCTCCCAAAGTGCTGGGATTACAGGCATAAGCCACCATACCCAGCCACTTCACTCAAGTCTCTTAGAGCTGAAATGATAAGGTGATTAGCCATATGAATTAGTAGCTGGGATTGGAACTTGTTGCATGCATAATGCATGCTTGCTACATGCATGCTGGTACTTGTAGTCTTAACAGGCTATATCTGACAGTCCTGATGATGATGGGTGATGGTTCACGATTATAGGCTGGATATTCTAGTCTTAGTGGAATTTCTTTTGACGATGATGGTGGTAACTATTGTGTATTGAGTACTTACTATGTGCCTGATGCCGTGCTAAATGCCTTACATATGCTTTTTACTTTAATGCTCAGAAGGCAGACCCTGTTATGATCTCCAGTTTACAGATAAGAATGTATGCCTAAGAACACATAGTAAATTCCAGAACCAGGATTCGAACCTGAGATTTGAACCCAGGTCTACCTGGCTCTGGAACAGGAACTCTTATCTACTATATTATAATCCTATGAGCTTGTCAACTATTGTGTTTGTTTGTTTTGAGATGGAGTCTCGCTCTGTTGCCCAGGCTAGGGTTCAGTGGCACAATCTTGGCTCACTGCAACCTCCGCCTCCCAGGTTCAAGCAATTCTCCTGCCTCAGCCTCCTGAGTAGCTGGGAATACAGGTGTGCACCACCATGCCCAGCTAATTTTTATATTTTTAGTAGAGACATGGTTTCACCATGTTGGCCAGGCTGGTCCCAAACTCCTGACCTCAGATGATCTGCCTGCCTCAGCCTCCCAAAGTGCTGGGATTACAGGCATGAGCCACTGCGCCTGTCAACTATTGTGGGGTTTCTTTTGGTTTTATTTGAGATGGAGTCTTGCTCGATGTCGCCTAGGCTGGAGTGCAGTTGTGTGATCCCAGCTCACTGCAACCTCCACCTCCCAGGTTAGAGCGATTCTCCTGCCTTTGCCTCCCAAGTAGCTGGAATTACAGGCACCCACCACCACGCCTGGCTAATTTTTGTATTTTTAGTAGAGATGGGGTTTCACCATGTTGGACCAGGCTGGTCTCAAACTCCTGACCTCAGGTAATCTGCCTGCCTTGGCCTCCCAAAATGCTGGGATTACAGGTGTGAGCCACCGCACCCGGCCTAATTATTGTGTTTTTAATGAGCATAATTCTCAGCAGGCACCTTGTATGAGGGTCAGAGGGCAGATCGCTGGTCTCTGAAGAGCCTACTAAGGAGCTTGGTTTTCTTCTGCGGCTGTAGGAGGAGGAAAGGCAAGCTCTGACTCTGAGGTTGGAGGCAGAACAGCAGCGGTGCTGTGTCCTGCAGGAAGAGCGGGATGCAGCTCGGGCTGGGCAACTGAGTGAGCATCGAGAGTTGGAGACTCTTCGGGCTGCCCTAGAAGAAGAACGGCAGACCTGGGCCCAGCAAGAGCACCAGCTTAAGGAACACTACCAGGCGCTGCAGGAGGAGAGCCAGGCTCAGCTGGAAAGGGAGAAGGTAAAAGTGGCAGTTGGAAGAGCTGAGGAACTAGGGAGTAGATGAAGGGCAAAATAATTGAATGGGATGGAATGTTAGAATATGGGGGATACATATAGGCAGGAATGGAGAGTAGAGAGCCATGTGTGGGAGACAAGGTTGAGAGTATAGGGCCAGCAGGAAGGGCTGGGGGTAATGAATACGTGAAAGGCCAAAGACTGAAATTCAACAGGGATGGGGAAATAAAACAAATGGGAGGAGCTGGGGGAAGCTTGGATTTTAGGGTTTGGGAGGATGAACTGGGGAGTGTAGGTAACCAGGAGATAAGAAATGAGGTATGTATATACATTTGATTTGTCTTTCATAGGAGAAGAGCCAGAGGGAAGCCCAGGCCGCCTGGGAGACCCAGCACCAGTTGGCATTGGTGCAGTCTGAGGTGCGGCGGCTGGAAGGAGAGCTGGATACAGCTCGGAGAGAGAGAGATGCCCTGCAGCTGGAAATGAGCTTGGTGCAGGTCAGAAGGCAGAGGTTTCTTGAGGTTTTGTTCTGACAGAAGTAGATCTGAGGCAGAGGGACCTCTCAGGAGTTGTGGCAGACACTCCCAGTTCAGGTGTTTGGGGTTTAATTCCATTAACAGTTTCTATGTAGTATGGGTAGTTTTCTGTCCTAAACTCAGAGCTATTTCTTACTGAGTGACCATTTCCCACAATATGTCAGACTGACCTAGTGTTACTTTTAGGATTAAATAGATTTAAATCTATTAAAGATACCTTATGTTATTTTAAGAGATGACACCACACTTAGTGGGTTGACAGAGCAGGTGAAAGCTTTTGTCAGAGACTTGATTCCAATTGTAACAGTGTGCTTTGTAATTCTCATTACTTGAATAACTTGTATTAATTTCTCTGAGTAGGTCAGGGACCCAGGAGGGCAATGATTTTTTAATTTACTTATGAAACTTCCATAACAGCACATGGCCTGGCACAGAATTGTACTCAAAAATTGTTTGTCAGATATAATTACACTTTGAAAAACTCTTTCCATCTAGCTAACACACTGAATTTTAAATTCAAACTAGTCGGACTCTTGCCATGGAATAGAGCAGGAGTTGGCGAACTTTTTCTGTAAAGGGCCAGACAGTAAATATTTTTAGCTTTGTGGGTTGTATGGTCTCAGTTGCAACTACCCAACTCTGCTGTTATACCACAGAAGTAGCTATAAACTGTACGTAAACAAATGGGCACAGCTGTGTTCTAGTACAACTTATCTAAACAGGCAATGGAGGGCTGAATTGGGCTGTAGTTCGCCGATCTCCAGAATAGAGGAAAGGATTGGAGAGAGCTGTGTTCCAGCCCATGGGGGAGACACAGCGTTGAAGAGGAAAGAGTATTGCATTAGGACTTAGGGCACTTACGTCTACTTCTAGCTAGAATTTTGACCTTTATGGGCCTCTGTTTTTATGTATAAAATGTGTAAGGACAAATTGATGAATTTTCCAGGTGCAAGCCAGTCTGAGAGGCTATGTTCCTTATAAATGGTTAACTTAAGGAGGTACCAGTGAGGCCAGCATTTGAGAACCACAATCCTTTGGCCCGGTATGGTGGCTCATGCCTGTAATCCCAGCACTGTGGGAGGCCAAGGCGGGTGGATCACTTGAGCCCAGGAGTTTGAGACCAGCCCGGCCAACATGGTGAAACCCTGTCTCTACTAAAAATACAAAAATTATCCAGGTGTATGGTGCACACCTGTAGTCCCGGCTACTAAGAAGGCCGAGGCAGGAGAATCGCTTGAACCCGGGAGGTGGAGGTTGCAGTGAGCCCAGATTGAACCAGTGTACTCCAGCCTGGGCAACAGAGTGAGACTCCATCTCAAAAAAAAAAAAAAAAAAAGAATTGACCTAGGGCTTCAGGTGTTACAATGAGATCACATGCGATAAAGACTAAGAAAGCATCCGGGTGTGGTGGCTCGCACCTGGAATCCCAGCACTTTGGGAGGCCGAAACGGGCAGATTGCTTGAGCCCAGGAGTTCAAGACCAACCTGGGCGCAATATGGCAGTACCTAAACTCTGCTAAAAATACAAAAACTTAGCCGGGTATAGTGGCATGCACCTGTAGTCCCAGCTACTCGGGAGGCTGAGGTGGGAGGATCAACTGAACCCTGGAAGTAGAGGCTGCAGTGACCCGTGATCACACCACTGCACTCCAGCCTGGGTGACAGGAGCGAGACCGAGTCTCAAAAAAAAAAAAGACAGAAAGGGCCAGGTGTGGTGGCTCACGCCTGTAATCCCAGCACTTTGGGAGGCTGAAGTGGGAGGATTGCTTGAGTCCAAGAGTTTGAGACCAGTCTGGGCAACATAATGAGACCCCATCTCTACAAAAAATAAAAATATTAGCTGGGTGTTGTGGCACCAGCTTGTAGTCCCAGCTACTCTGGAGGCTGAGGTGGGAGGATCTCTTGAGTCTGGGAGGTCAAGACTGCAGTGAGCCATGATCACACCACTGCACTTTAGGCTAAGCAACAGAACAAGACTCTGTCTCAGAAGTAGGGGCTGAGAAATAACCACTATTTGGATTTAGAAATTGAGTTCTTTGGGCCATGCGCGGTGGCTCACACCTGTAATCTCTTTGGGAGACTGAGGCGGGTGGATCACGAGGTCAGGAGATTGAGACCATCCTGGCTAACACGGTGAAACCCCGTCTCTACTAAAAATACAAAAAATTAGCTGGGCGTGGTGGCACGCACCTGTAGTTGCAGCTACTTGGGAGGCTGATGCAGGAGAATTGCTTGAACCCGGGAGGCAGAGGTTGCAGTGAGCCGAGATCGCGCCACTGCACTCCAGCCTGGGTGACAGAGAGGGACTCCATCTCAAAAAAAAAAAAAAAAAAAAAAAAGAGGTTGAGTTCTTTATAGTAAAATACTATACGTGGAAATCAGATTTTAGTGAGTTGAAGGACTGTGGCTGAGAAAATGGAGACACTTATAGGTTGACTGCTTAAGGAGGAAGAGGCACTGCCATTTATTGAATGTCTACTGGCTTTCAGGTACTCTACTCAGGGTATTTTTTTTTTTTTTTTTTTTTTTTTTTTTTTTGAGACGGAGTCTCGCTGTGTCTCCCAGGTTGGAGTGCAGTGGCGCGATCTCGGCTCACTGCAAGCTCCGCCTCCCAGGTTCATGCCATTCTCCTGCCTCAGCCTCCCAAGTAGCTGGGACTACAGGCGCCCGCCAACACGCCCGGCTAATTTTTTGTATTTTTAGTAGAAACGGGGTTTCACCGTGTTAGCCAAGATGGTCTCGATCTCCTGACCTCGTGATCCGCCCGTCTCGGCCTCCCAAAGTGCTAGGATTACAGGCGTGAGCCACCGCGCCCAGCCTCAGGGTATGTTATATCAGACACGTAGAATGGATTTGATTGCTCTGTCGAACATTTATTTTAGCTAAGAAATTTATGTCTTTCACCCATAGTCATTTTCACTTTGATGTATGTTTAAAGTGCGAATATCTTAATAAGGAAAGGGAACCTCTTTCACTCCTTGAGGCAAAATTCTTGTTCTTCATCTCATATGAGGGGAAAGTTGGTACTGGATTTTGTCTACATTATATCCTCCATCCTCTTCTAAGCCCAAACAGATTTGGGCCGTTATCCCACCTTCCTTCACTCCAGGCCCGGTATGAAAGCCAGCGGATCCAGCTGGAGTCGGAGCTGGCTGTGCAGCTGGAGCAGCGGGTGACAGAGCGGCTGGCGCAGGCTCAGGAGAGCAGCCTACGGCAAGCAGCCTCCCTCAGGGAACATCACAGGTACGTGGGACTCACTGGGTGTCACTTCTCTCAGCCACAGCACGTATCGTTAGTGCCAGGCCTGTGTTCCCTTCAATCCCTTTGCCATGGTCCAGCACTGTGACTCCCAGGGTGCGCTAACTCCCATCAGCTGGGACCTGAGTCTCTCTCGGGAGGGCTGCCTTCACGCGTTCATGGAGAGCCAGAAGTGCCTGGGAATTTTCATCCCATAGGGAGTAGCCCTTAACCAAGAACTGATGGGTGCAGAATGATAGATGGTCCAGCTCCCTCACTGGGACAGTGCTGAGGTATGACCTGTGCTGTCTCCAGAGCTGCTCTGTCGGACTGAGCCTCCTCGCAGCCTGGCCTCACTTCTCCTCACACCCATTCTGCTGCCGAGATTTTCTGGAACTGCTTCCGAAATAAATTTATTTAAGTCTCTGCTTCTGAGGAACCCATCCTAAGACCCCAGCTTTGTCCTTGCCGCTTCCTGTGCCATGGCCAGGCTAGCTGACTGGCTATCTGGGTCACTGTCATGTGCACACATGATGTCTTTTTCTCAGTTGGTCACTTCTTCTGTCTCCAGTCTCAGGCCTCTTCTCCTACCTGTGCCCTGTAGGAAGCAGCTGCAGGACCTGAGTGGACAGCACCAGCAGGAGCTGGCCAGTCAGCTAGCTCAGTTCAAGGTGGAAATGGCAGAACGAGAGGAACGGCAACAGCAGGTGGCTGAGGACTACGAGCTCAGGTCCTGGTCCCCAGAGTGCCCCTTTCAGGCCCCAGCCCCTTTCCCATGGGTAGAGCCCAAACTGGGAACGGTGAAGAGCTGCTCCCTTGATTGATCTGTCCTCCTCTACATGGGCCCCAGCTCCTTTCAGAATATCAGATGTCCAACATTTCCCTTCTGGCTCTTTTTAGCTCCCAAGTATCTGCTTCCTTAAAGGCCCTGAGTCACTTCTTCTCTCTTTGCTTCAGACTGGCCCGGGAGCAAGCGCGAGTGTGCGAACTGCAGAGTGGGAACCAGCAGCTGGAGGAGCAGCGGGTGGAGCTGGTGGAAAGACTGCAGGCCATGCTGCAGGCCCACTGGGATGAGGCCAACCAGCTGCTCAGCACCACTCTCCCGCCGCCCAACCCTCCAGTACGCCTTACCCCTTGAGCTAAGCTTCTCCGTTATGTTCTATTTTTATTTTTATTTTTGAGACAGGGTCTCACTCTTGCCCAGGCTGGAGTGTACTGGTGAGATCATAGCTCATTGCAGCCTCGAACTCCTGGGCTCAAGTGATCCTCCCACCTCTAACTCCCAAAGTGCTGGGATTCCAGGCATAAGCTACCATGCCCAGCAAGAACTGTGTTCTAGATTCCTTCTTTGGAAATCTAGCTCCCTCCCAAGGGAAGTACTAAGTTCAGCTCCTAAGGCCTACATCAGGGGAGAAAAATCGGTGGACTTTACAAATAATAACTGCCTCAGCAAAATAAATCCTTTTTTCCATGGCCATAGCTCACTCAGACTGGCCCCATTCCATTGGGCATAACTCTAGTCTCCCAGTCCCAAGAGGGGACAAATGATACGTGGTACTAGTTTTGTGGAGGGACAGCTGAATTAATTATGAGGGAAAGGGCCAAAAATTGTTGCCAAGTCCTGCCCCAGAGTAGAGTAGGGAGTCTCACTTCCTAGCCCTTCATACGTTGATACTTCCCACTTCCTTCTTTTAATTATGAAATTCTAGCAGGTGTGGTGGTGCGCCTGTAATCTCAGCTATATGGGAGGCTAAAGCAGAAGGATCACTTGAGCTCAGGAGTTCAAGACTAGCCTAGGCAACATAGTGAGACCTCATCTCAAAAAAAGAAAAAGAAGAAAAAATTAGGATATTTTAATTTTAATTTTATTTATTTATATACTTATCATTTATTTATTTGAGACAAGGTCTCACTCTGTTGCCCAGAGCGCTCAAGCAATCTTCCTTCCTCAGCTTCCTGAGTAGCTGGGACTACACACACGTGCCATTGCCCCCAGCTAATTTTTAAATTTTTTGTAGAGATGGCATCTCTCTATGTTGCCAAGCCTGGTTCAAACTGCCAGCCTCAAACGGTCCTCCCAAAGTGTTGGGATTACAGGTGTGAGCCACTGCATCCGGAAATTTATAATCTTATTAAAGTGTTTGTACCATGTCTTATCTCTTTAAACCTACTGTGCTTTGACCCTTCTTTCTGCCTCTCTCCTGGTCAGGCTCCTCCTGCTGGACCCTCCAGCCCCGGGCCTCAGGAGCCCGAGAAGGAGGAGAGGAGGGTCTGGACTATGCCTCCCATGGCCGTGGCCCTGAAGCCTGTATTGCAGCAGAGCCGGGAAGCAAGGGACGAGCTACCTGGAGCGCCTCCTGTTCTTTGCAGTTCCTCCTCAGATCTTAGCCTCCTGTTGGGCCCCTCTTTTCAGAGCCAGCATTCTTTCCAGCCCCTGGAGCCCAAACCAGACCTCACTTCATCCACAGGTAACTGGGGGCAGAAGTCACTGGGGTTCCCCTTCTGTGCATGAATTGGCTCCCTCTTTCGTACCCTGCTTTCTGTCTGATACTTGAGCATTTAGTTTCCCAGATGCCTTTAGTGATCGCAAGTTGCAAGGAGCAGAAATCTGCTCACATTGGTCCAAATAAAGGGATTGAGATCTCATGGAAATATGACATCGCTGGACTTAATGAGAACTGGAGTTGGGAACGGGGTACTATCAGGAACTGAGGCAGCTAGCTGGCCCTTTTCTGTGGGCCTGCATAGCCTCCTGGGTCCACCTCTCCTGCACATCTGCTCTTTTTTCTTGCTAGACCAGCATTCAAGGTTCTCACCCTTCATAACTTCAGTTTACACATGGGTTTGACCAGCTGTGATACTGACTCTAGCTGAGCCTCTAGACATTTATAGAGACATCGGTGTCTCAGTTTTTTTAGGTCCAGTTTAAAGAGGCCATCTGATTGGATTGGCTGACCTTGGGTGTGGTGTCCACCCCTAGTTTAATGTCACCTGTGATTTGAGTGGATGGGGGCATTCTGTGTGGTACAAACATGACAACCTAGGTCGAATTAAAAATGAGGGATGGGGCCGGGTGCAGTGGCTCACGCCTGTAATGCTAGCGCGTTGGGAGGCTGAGGTGGGAGGATGGCTTGGTGCCAGGAGTTCCAGACCAGTCTGACCCATATAGTGAGACCTCATCTCTACACAAAATAAAAAGTTAGCAGGATGTGGTGGCACACACCCAAATTTCCAGCTACCCAGGGAGGCTGAGACAGAAGGATTGCTTGAGCCAAGGAGTTTGGGGCTACAGTGAGCTAAGAAGTTGCCATTGTACTCTAGCCTGGGCAACACAGCAAGACTCTGTCTCTTAAAAAAAAAAAAAAGAGATTACAGCTCACGCCTGTAATCCCAGTACTTTGGGAGGCCGAGGCGGGCAGATCACAAGGTCAGGATATCGAGACCATCCTGGCTAACACAGTGAAACCCCGTCTCTACTAAAAATACAAAAAAGTTAGCCGGGCGTGGTGGCAGGCATCTGTAGTCCCAGCTACTCGGGAGGCTGAGGCAGGAGAATGGTGTGAACCCGGGAGGCGGAGCTTGCAGTGAGCCGAGATCGCGCCGCTGCACTTCAGCCTGGGCGACAGAGCGAGACTCCATCTCAAAAAAAAAAAAAAAAAGAGAGATTAGTTGTAGCACAATTAAAAATTTTTTAATTATGTGAGAATAATAAAAGAATGAGGCATATTCGGGGGAAGAGGTCAGAACATGTGTGTTACTCATTTCCATTCTTCAGGGAGTTTGTGAGGGTATTTATTTGTTTAGAGTTTGAGTACCACAGCTTTCTTCTGTCTATATTTCTGTCTTAGAATTCAGCTGTGCCATCTCTCAGTCACCTCCAACCCTTCCCTCTCCAGCTACTTTAAACCTCCATCTTCATCTTCTCTTAGCTGTGATGTTCCTCTTCCATTTAATAGGCCCCTTTCTTCTGAGTATTAGGTGAGTTGATTTGTGGAGAAGCCCCTTCCCCCCTGAACACACTTGCACCCACCCATACCTGTTTCACTTTATAGCTGGGGCCTTCTCTGCACTTGGGGCCTTCCATCCCGATCATAGGGCAGAAAGGCCATTCCCTGAGGAAGATCCTGGACCTGACGGGGAGGGCCTCCTAAAGCAAGGGCTGCCGCCTGCTCAGCTGGAGGGCCTCAAGAATTTTTTGCACCAGGTAAGAGAGATTCCACCCAGACTAGCTCACTTTCTTCTTCCCTTTCTCCTTTCCTCTTTCTGCTCTGGGAATCCAGGACTCTGGCCTCATTCCCTGTTTATGACTAACTCTTTGTCCCAGCTTCTTCTCTCAGATCCCTGGGCGTTTTTCTCTATCAGTCCCTAGGGAACTTGACAATCTTATTCACCCACAGTTGCTGGAGACAGTGCCCCAGAACAATGAGAACCCTTCTGTCGACCTGTTGCCCCCTAAGTCTGGTGAGTTCCAACTCTGAAGAAGGTTGGGGCTGGGGCCTAGGAAAGATCGGAGTTGGTTATCTAGGATGAATTTTTAGGAGCTGGCAAAAGTAATAAAGCCTTATAAATGCTGGGTGGTGGGACTTCCTTGGTTCTATGCCCCATTTCCTGATTCTTGGCATTCTTTCCTTTTGCTAGGTCCTCTGACTGTCCCATCTTGGGAGGAAGCCCCTCAAGTGCCACGTATTCCACCGCCTGTCCACAAAACCAAAGTTCCCTTAGCCATGGCATCCAGTCTTTTCCGGGTCCCTGAGCCTCCCTCCTCCCATTCACAAGGCAGTGGTCCCAGCAGTGGTTCCCCAGAGAGAGGTGAGCATGTTCTGGTTTATTAGGGAAAAAAGGAGGGACAGTCCTGAGTGTGGATCCAGTACAGGCACTTACAGTCCTTCTGAATTCCTGGGGAAATGGGCTGAGGGCTGGGGAGACAGGCCCTAGGATGACGCCTGTGATTATTGCGATGTCTGTCAGGTGGAGATGGGCTTACATTCCCAAGGCAGCTGATGGAGGTGTCTCAACTGTTGCGACTCTACCAGGCTCGGGGCTGGGGGGCTCTGCCTGCTGAGGATCTCCTGCTCTACCTGAAGAGGCTGGAACACAGCGGGTACAAGCCTGGGAGGAAGGAGGAAGGATTCTCCGGGTGGAAGCTGGATTATGGGGAGTGGAGTGGGTGTGTTTTACACTGAATTGAATCGTTGTCCTTTTCTGGGGAGGAAAGTGAAGGATGAGAGGTGGATCCACAGATCTTCTCTAACTGCCCCACACTTTTCTTTTATCTCCTCCTTTCTATTGCTTTTTTCTTCTAAACAAAAAAATCTTTTCCCCGGGTCTCTCTACCTTCGTTTTTTTCCTCTTTACCCCTCAGCTCAAAACTCAGAATCCTAGACTTTTGACTAGCTAGTGTAACTCGTTATTTACTTCCACTAATGTCTCCTCCCAGTTGATGCCCAGGTCTATCGAGTTTGATCTTATTCTTAAGAGATAGAATTGGGGAGTAGTTCTTCCATCCAGTATTGGGTAACCGGGGGGACGGAGATCCCCATCCTCATACCTTTGATTTGTGTAGCAGGACTGATGGCCGAGGGGATAATGTCCCCAGAAGGAACACAGACTCCCGCTTGGGTGAGATCCCCCGGAAAGAGGTGAGGGAAAGTCAGGCAGGGACCAGGGGAGAAAAGGGCTCTCACTGACCAGCTCCTTCACCTCTGCACACTCCTGGCTGGCCCCTCCATTCCACCCCTGCATTCTGTAGCATGGCCTTTCCTCCCTGCAGACTCATCTGGCCCTCTCCACGTGCATTTCCTCAGTGGGGTGGGGAATTGAGAGGATCTGACGCTGATTTCTTCCTCTCTCTTCCCTCAACTCTCAGATTCCCTCCCAGGCTGTCCCTCGCCGCCTTGCTACAGCCCCCAAGACTGAAAAACCTCCCGCACGGAAGAAAAGTGGGCACCCTGCCCCGAGTAGCATGAGGAGCCGGGGGGGAGTCTGGAGATGAGCCCCCCTACCCTCTCTCCTCTTTGTTCTCTCATTGTTGTTATTTTAATAAATGCTCATTAGTCTGTATCAGAGTCTCTGGCTCATAGGAATTTGGAAAATAGAGGTTTTGTAGGGAATCACTTCGTAAAGAAACCACATTTGGTTGAGTACTTTTTTTATATGTTACATGTTTATATGTCATTTCCTGTGGGAAAAGACATGAATGCTTTGGAAGACGGTCTATGACAAGATTTGGAAAGTTGGGGCGGCTAAGATTCAGTGGACAAAGCTAAAACCTGCAGAGCAATGAACTCTGGGTGGTAGTGGAATTATGGGTGATTCTTAGTTTTTTAATACGTTTCTGTATTTTCCAAATTTTCTAAAACAAGTATATGTTACTTTAATAATCAGAACAGACCCAAACTTTAATAAGAGTAAGTTATTGTATAAAGAGTTTGAGTTAAAATTTGGTTGTTGGGGAGAAAGTTTTCTAAGGGAAAATAATTCTTTCAGGTTGCATTTGTAGGATTCAGATTGGCAGATTCTACTCCAGCCAGCAGACATATTGTTGCTATAGTCTTCACGCTTACAGCTTTAAAACGTGTAAAAGACTAGAGTGCTGGGTCCTAATTAAACAAAAGAGTTTCTGCACAGCAAAAGAGACTGTCGACAGAGTAAACAGACAGCCTACAGAATGGGAGAAAATATTCTCAAACTATGCATTTGACAAAGGTCTAACATCCAGAATCTATTAGGAACTTAAATCAACAAACAAAAAACAAATACCTCCATTAAAAAATGGGCAGAGGACCTGAACAGACACTTCGCAAAAGAAGACATGCAAGCAGCCAACAAACATTTGAAAAAATGCTCGTTAATAATCATCAGAGAAATGCAAATCAATTTAATGCAAAACCCCACAATGAGATACCATCTCATACCTATCAGAATGACTATTATTAAAAAGTCAAAAAACAACATGCTGGCGAGGCTGCAGAGAAAAGGGAATGCTTATATAGCTGTCAGTGGGAATGTAAGTTCCGCCACTATGGAAAGCAGTTTAGAGATTTCTCATAAAACTTAAGAGTTACCATTTCACCCAGCGATCACATCACTGGATATATACCCAAAGGAAAATAGGTCATTATTCCAACAAGATACATGCATTTATATGTTCATTACCACACTGTTCTTAATAGCAAAGACATAGAATCAACCTAGATGCCCATCAGGGGTGGATTGGATAAAGAAAATGTACATATACACCATGGAATACCACACAGCCATGAAAAAGAATGAAATAATGTCCTTTGTAGCAACATGGATGGAGCTGAAGGCTATAATCTTAATTAAGCGCGTTAGTGCAGGAACAGAAAACCTCATACTACATGTTCTCCTAAGTGGGAGTAAACATTGAGCACATGTGAACATAGACTTGGGAACAACAGATACTGCAGACTCCCAGAGCAGGGAGGGAGGGAGGGAGGGGGACGCGGGTTGAAACACTACCTAATGGTACTATGCTCACTACCTAGGTGCAATATACCCACGTAACAAACCTGCACATGTATGCCCTGCATCTAAAATAAAAGTTGAAATTGAGGCTGGGTGTGGTGGCTCACACTGTAATCCCAGCACTTTGGAAGGCCGAGGCAGACAGATCACTTGAGGCCAAGAGTTCGAGACCAGCCCGGCCAACATGGTGAAACACTGTCTCTATTAAAAAATACAAAACATTAGCCGGGCATGGTAGTGGGCACCTGTAATCCCAGCTACTTGGGAGGCTGAGGAAGGAGAATCACTTGAACTTGAGAGGCAGAGGTTGCAGTAAGCCAAGATTGTGCCACTGCACTCCAGACTGGGTGACAGAGCAAGGCTCTGTCTGAAAAAAAAAAAAAAAGAGAGTTGAAATTGAAAAAAAATAGACTGCTGGCAAGAAAACTAAACCATGTTTATAAAACTTCCATTTAAATGCTCACTAAAATGGACAAAGAAAAACAATACTAGGGAAGAAAATAACGTAGACATGAAATTTAAAAAGGCCCCAAATTCATGGTACAAACACTGAAAAGCACTCAGTCAAACTGAAACTGGAAGAGGATATCCTACCTTGAGACTCACACGCAGCTCTCAGCTCTGGCACATGGTGCAGGGTAGTGGTGATGGCAGGTACAATTCTGAAAGTGGTGTTGGCAGGTAAGAGGTGGGTGTTTGAGGGACAGAGTTTACCAGATTCTGAGAAGAAGGCAGGGCCCTTCTATCTGACCCTGAGTTATACACATGATAGGATGTGGATTCATAGAGTGTTTTGTACTAATGTTTGCATTTTACTTCCACCTAAGTAACTTTCTAGCCCCCAGGGGACGGGCAAAGGAAGAAAAGGTGAAGATGAATGACCAGACATGTGGGTTGCCCTGCTCAGCTGTGTCAGAACGGCTTGATCCTCAGCCCCGCACAGGACCACTCTCTGGCATGCACCAGCGGAGAAACTGGAGGCACACTGGCGCAGGAGCAGCCCCAGGCTTGAGGGCTTTTCCAGCCCTGTCTGTTTACCCACGTATGGAAATGTTTACTTTTCTATTTTTTACCTTAAATATGTAACACTGGTTTGACCAAACTCTCAGATTCATGGCACACTATCATCATTGGTAGGTGATGGTTTGCTACGGTTTTTAATAGCTGGTAAAGTGAACACCCAGTTCATTCTCCTCATTATCTCCTGGATTCCCGCCTACCGCCATCAGTCAGTATGCCCTACATTTTTCTTGACGTGAAGCACAGCCTGGAGAATATTCCCTGAAACAGCTCTTTAAACGCAATCCAAAAAAGGCATCATGCTGACTTAACCATGTTATGAGGTGAGTAAAACAACGTTGATTTTTAAAACTGTATATATTGGCTGGGTTCGGTGGCTCATGCCTGTAATCCCAGCACTTTGGGAGGCCGAGGTGGGTGGATCACCTGAGATCAGGAGTTTGAGACCAGCCTGGCCAACTTGGCAAAACCCCATCTCTACTAAAAATACAAAAAATTAGCCAGGTGTGGTGGCACATGCCTGTAATCTAAGCTACTCGGGAGGCTGAGGCAGGAGAATCCCTTGAACCTGGGAGGTGGAGGTTGCAGTGAGCCGAGATCGCGCCACTGCACTCCAGCCTGGGCGACAGAGTGAGACTCCATCTCAAAAAATAAATAAATACAAAATAAAACTGTATATATTATATCCACATTAAAATCTGAAGACCACCAAGGAGACTGGGGAGGAAGAGAAAACCCACAGTCAAGCAGTCCCCACTTTTTCCTCCCAGGATCGTCGTGGGAATATGCTGGGGGCGGGGGAATGAAAGATTTTAAGAGTTCATAAAAACTCACTTGCAGAGAAAGTAGGTGCAGCCTTCTTGAAGCTCAGGTTTCACAGGGTGTAGATGGGGGGTTGACCTGGGACTTTGTCTCCTAAGAACTCTCAGAGCTGTTGTGGTTGGGAGTGGGGAAGGTCCTGGAAGTGGAGTTTGTTAGGGTGAAGGCTAATAACAAACCCAGTGATACACTGACTTTTAGACAAAGTTCATTTCCCTGGTTATGGTCCAGAGCAGTGGAGTCAGTCCTGCTTTATGTGGTCACTTAGAGTCTCAGATTCCTTCCATCTCATTGCTCTGCTGTCCCCTAGAGCAGTGGTCCCCAACCTTTTTGGCAGCAGGGACGGGCTTTGTGGAAGACAGTTTTTCCACAGACAGGGGTGCGGATGGTTTGGGGATGATTCAAGCACATTACATTTATTGTGCACTTTGTTTCTATCATTATTATTATTACATTGTAATTAAACAATTATACAACTCATCATAATGTAGAATCAGTGGGAGCCCTGAGCTTGTTTTCCTGCAACTAGACGGTCCCATCAGGGGATAATGGGAGACAGTGACAGATCATCAGGCATTAGATTCTCATAAGGAGCATGCAACCCAGATCCCTCGCATGCGCAGTTCACAGTAGGGTTCACGCTCCCATGAAAATCTAAGGCCGCCGCTGATCTGACAGGAGGCGGAGCTCAGGTGGTAATGCATGTGAGCAATGGGGAGTGGCTGTAAATACAGATGAAGATTTGCTCGCTTGACCGCCGCTCACCTCGTGCTTTGCAGTCCGATTCCAAACAGTCCACAGACCGCTACTGATTGGTGGCCAGGGGTTGGGGACCCCTGCCCTAGAGCACTGTTGTTATTTGTGTGGCTGAAGCAAGATCATTGTCACTTAGGACTCCCAGCTGGCAAGCAGGGGAAAGAGCTATGTCCAATGTCTTAAGACCCATACCTGGAAATGCCACATATCAGTTTTGCTCATATTTCATTGGCAAGGCTTTGATCATATGGTCGCACCTGGCTGCAAGAGACTTAGAAACGTAGCCTAGCTGGGCCGCCACGTATGCGGCTATGACTATTATTATGCAGGAACTCAAGAGGAAGGAGAGAATGGATTTCGATAGACAACTAGCAGTCTGCCCTACACAGGATAGGACCTCCCTTAGAGGAATTGAAAACTAATAATTGCCGAGACAACCCATGCCAATAATTAGTAGTGAATGTGCAGATAATGAAAAGACGCATTGGACATGTAAGTTAGTCCAAGCTACACAATTGAACTAATTAGCTCCTACAAAACAGTTAATGCGGGAAAAAGGAAAGAACTTCAATTCCAGTCAGCATTATTATTGGAAAATGAAAGATGGTGTGAAAAAGATGCAGCCATAGAACAAGAATTTGGAGTTAAAAAACAACAAAAAGCAGAATTGACTCTACTAGAAATCATGCATATTAACTAGAAGAAAAATTGGAGGAAATCTCCAAGTTTACAAAAGGGAGAAAATATGTAAATTATGAAAGAAACAATAGAAAAAAAATGGATCCAGAACAAATATCTAGGAGAAAATACAGTAATCATTTAAAAAATAATAGAAAATTCTGATTCTGAAAGTATGGTTGAATAGATAACTCGACTCCTGCTGAATCATAACTAGATCCCGGTGGTATGACAGTAATTTTTAAAATAACTTTTAAAATTTTGTTTTATTTGCTGCCTGCCTTGTTTGGCAAACACTTTTTAATGCATTATTGGGTTGCTAAAAGTAAAGGAAGTTGAACTTGTATTTCTAGTATGAAGTGGACCTAGATAACCTGGCTGACCTTCCTACTGAAATACCTAAAAAATGTTAGATAAAATGTATTTTTAAAAAATCTTAAATGCATTGATGAGCTGGCAAGAAAGAAATATGGCAAAAATAAAGGCGGGAACATAAAGTTTAAGTGGCACATTTAAATTGCTTTTTATCAGCCGGAGGTGTCATCTTCCAGTAATTCACCAAAATGACAAACACAAAAGGATAGATAGAGGAGGGCCACCCACTCTATGTTCTCCGGGCCTTTTAGAAAACATGGAGCTGTTCCTTTGGCCACCTAGATGTGAATCTATAAGAAAGGCAGTATTGTAGGCCAGGCGCAGTGGCTCAGCCTATAATCCCAGCACTTTGGGAGGCTGAGGTGGGCGGATTGCTTGAGTCCAGGAGTTCGAGACCAGCCTGGGCAACGTGGCGAAACCCTGTCTCTACCCACCCCATCTCTACCAAAAATAAAAAAATTAACCTGGTGTGCTGGTGCGCACCTGTGGCCTCACCTACTCGGGAGGCTGAGGTGGGAAGTTCCCTTGAGCTTGGGAGGTGGAAGTTGCAGTGAGCAGAGATCGCACCACAGCACTCCAGCCTAGGTGACACAGAGAGACCCTGTCTCAAGAAAAAAAAAAAAAGAAAAAAAAAGACAATATTGTAGACATCAAGGGAATGGGTACTGTTCAAAAAGGAATGCCCCACAAGTGTCACCATGGCTAAACTGGAAGAGTCTACAGTGTGCCCCAGCATGCTGTTGGCATTGTTGTAAACAAGTTAAGGGCAAGATTCTTGCCAAGAGAATTAATGTGCGTATTGGGCACGTTAAGCACCTCTAAGAGCCAAGACTACTTCCTGAAAAGCATGAAAGAAAATGGTCGGAAAAAGAAGGAAGCCAAAGAGAAAGGTACCTGAGTTCAATGGAAATGCCAGACTGCTCCACCCAGAGGGGTAAACACTGGTAAAGACGCTCAGCCTCATTAGGAAGGAGGGCAGTGCACACTGAAATCAAGGTGATCTATCGCTTCACACCATCAGCGAGGCAACATTTGTAAGGTCCGAGTGTATCAAGTGTCGCTGAGGATGTGGAGCAATAGAAACTAAACTTAGACTCTGCTGGTGAGAGAACCGCAAAGGATAAGTAGGCCATTTCGGGAAACATTTTATCATTACTTAGTAAATGTGATGATGCACACATCCCTATGACACGCTAAATCCACCCCAGGGATGTGCCCTAGAAAAACTCTTGCCCACGTGTTCACCAGGAGACAAGAATGTCATAGCAAAAACCTGCAAGCAATCAAATGTCTGTTGCCAATGGTAGTTTCATATAATAAAATATCACACACCAGTACAAATGGATGTACTACAGTTACATGCAACCCATATGCATGAATTTCACAAGTCATGTTGAATGGGAAAAGCAGATTGCAGAAGAAAATGTACATATACTGTTTACGTAAAGCTGAAAAATCAGCACAGAGCTGGGCCCAGTGGCTCATGCCTGTAATCCCAACACTTTGGGAGGCTGAGGCAGGAGGATAGCTTGAGGCCATGAGTTCAACACAAGCCTGGGCAACACAGCAAAACCTCATCTCCCCCCCACCTCCCCCACCAAAAAAAGAAAAAAGAAAATCCCTCAGAAAAACAAAACATCCAAATGCATGTAATGCATATGTCAAATTGTATTAAGTTGCTGACAAGGGAAAATAGTAAGAAAACAAAGGAGTATTCCAGCTCTGTGGAAAGCTGCTGCTGTGTACCTACAGGAAATTCTCTGAGAGCTGGGGCTGGGCAAGAGCCAAGAGAGCTGCTGACAGCAAAGTGAGAGAAGGCAGGCCTCAGAAAGGAGAAGAGAAAGATGCCTGGCAAGCGAGAAGCAACTGGAATGCTCTGTAACTCACATTCTCTATAAATCTCCAAATTCTCTCACTAGCAGCATCTTAAAGTGTGTGTGTATTTTTTTTAACTTTTATTTTAGGTTCGGGAGTACATGTGAAGGTTTGTTACATAGGTAAATTCATGTCTTGAGGGTTTGTTGTACCGCTTATTTCAATACCCAGGTACTAAGCCCAGTGCCCAAGAATTATCTTTTCTGCCCCGCTCCCTCCTCCCACCCTCCAGCCTCAAGTAGGCAGCACTGTTTGTTGTTCCTCTCTTGGTATTCGTAAGTATTTAGCTCCCACTTATAAGTGAGAATATGCGGAATTTGGTTTTCTGTTCCTGCGTTAGTTTACTGAGGGTAATGGCCTCCCGCTCCATCCATGTTCCCACAGAAGACATGATCTCGTTCTTTTTTTTGCGGAGTCTCCCTCTGTCGCCCAGGCTGGAGTGCAGTGGTGTGATCACGGCTCACTGCAAGCTCCGCCTCCCGGGTTCACGCCATTCTCCTGCCTCAGCCTCCCGAGTAGCCGGGACTACAGGCGCCCGCCACCGCGCCCGGCTAATTTTTTTGTATTTTTAGTAGAGACGGGTTTTCACCATGCTAGCCAGGATGGTCTCGATCTCCTGACCTCAGGATCTGTCTGCCTCGGCCTCCCAAAATGCTGGGATTACAGGCGTGAGCCACCGCGTCCGGCCTTAACTGGAATTTTAAACCTTTATTTTCTCCTATAAAGCTTGTTCATTACAGAAGATTAGAAAGCAAAATTATAAATAAGAAAATAGAAATCAACTGAAATTCTGTCACCCAGAGAATCATTTTCTTTTTTAATACACTCACACACATACATAAACGGAATTACATTGTACATATAGTTCTCATCAAATTTTTTTCTCTTAATCTCATTACATATTATTTTAAAACAATTTTCAACTGCTGTTTAATTTTATGTCCTCAAGGTATACCATAATTTATATGACCATAATTTATATGACTGTTGTTATATAAATTTATATATATTTATATAATTTTATATAAAATATATATATAATATAAATTTATTTAGTCCCCACTTATTGGACTAAATAAATATTTACCATTCTTTGCTGTTATAAATAATGATGAATGAATATTCTCATATGTACACCTTGGTGTCTCTGTTTTCTAGAAGTGGAATTACTGGTTCGAACAGTCTGAACATTTTTAAGATCCTTAAAACATAATGCCAAATTGTTTTTCAAAAAGATCGCACCAGTTTACACTTCCACCAGATGTGTAGTAAAAGTACAAATAATACTCACTGAGGACACCCTGGCGTGTCATTTCCCATGCTAGAATGCCTTGCCCTTATTTGCTTGAAATGAACTTACAGAGTAACCTCTGTGTGCATGTGACCTGGACAGGTTGCCTTCAGGGCATAGATTTGTCAGTGTCCCACAAGGCATTTTTTGGATGATGTATCCATTAGGATGATTTTGGTGGCACGTAATTGAAACCCTGACTCACGTTGTCTTTAGCAAGAAGGACACAGAAACAGGGTGGGCTCCGAGTGTGGTAAGGTTAATGGCACAATGAAGTCAGGAACTCAGGTTCTTTTTTTTGAGATGGAGTTTCCCTCGTCGCCCAGGTTGGAGTGTACTGGCACAATCTTGGCTCACCTCCCATGTTCAAGTGATTCTCCTGCCTCAGCCTCCCAAGTAGCTGGGATTACAGGCACTCGCCACCATGCCTGGTTAATTTTTGTATTTTTAGTAGGGACGGGGTTTCACCATCTTGGTCAGGCTGGTCTGGAACTCCTGACCTCGTGAGCCACCCGCCTCGGCCTCCCAAAGTGCTGGGATTACAAGCTGAACCGCCACACCCTGCCAGGAACTCAGGTTCTTTTCGTGTCTATCCTTCCCTCCTCAACACCGGCTTCCTCCTCAGACTGGCTGCAGGTGTTTCAGGGCTCTATCCAGATGTAACAAAGCCCATGGCCACATAGGCTGTGCACCACCACGCCCGGCTAATTTTTTGTATTTTTAGGAGAGAAGGGGTTTCAGTGTGTTAGCCAGGATGGTCTCGATCTCCTGACCTCATGATCCGCCCGCCTGGTCCTCCCAAAGTGCTGGGATTACAGGCATGAGCCACCGTGGCTGGCTATGGTAATTATTTTTGAAATGTACATGGCCAGGCATGGTGCTCAAGCCTGTAATCCCAGCACTTTGGGAGGCCAAGTCAGGAGGATCGCCTAAGTCCAGTAGTTCAAGACCCACCTGGGCAGCAAAGTGAGACCCTCGCCTCTACAAAAAATTTAAAATTAGTCAGGAGTGGTGGCACGTGCCTGTAGTCCCCATTACTCGGGAGGCTTGATCTCAGGAGGTTGAGGCTGCAGTGAGCTGTGTTCATGTCACTGCAGTCCAGCCTGAGTGACAGAGCAAGACTCTGTCTCAAAAAAAGTCCAAAAACCCAAAAAGAAAAACCCAAAATAAATAAAAACATACAAATTTTCAATAAATATACATCAAAATATGCAAATTAAGGAAGTGTAGAATCTTTTAATTTTAAATTGTCATGTTTTAGAAGTGATTTTTCTTCTAGTATTTTAAAAATCTTTATCTTCTGAAAATATTTTCAACTATTAAGATAAAAAATGCAGCCGGGTGTCGTGGCTTATGACTGTAATCCCAGCGCTTTGGGAGGCCAAGGTGGGCGGATCACTTGAGGTCAGGAGTTCAAGCCCCGCCTGGCCAACATGGTGAAACCCCTTCTCTACTAAAAAAAAATAGAAAAATTAGCCGGTGTGGTGGCATGTGCCTGTAGTCCCAGCCACTTGGGAGGCTGAGACAGTAGAATGGCTTGAACCTGGGAGGCAGAGGTTGCAGTGGGCTGAGATCACGGCACTGCACTCCAGCCTGGGCAACAGAGCAAGACTCCATCTCGAAAAAAAAAGAAAGATGAAAAATGCAAGTTATAACTAATAAATATTAAACATTTAAGCAAAATCATTCTAATAAAGCTGAAATACTTAAATTTTTGAAAATTTATTAAATCATCTTCACAAAAGTATTTGTGGTTCTAGCATTCAATATCAACAGTTGCCAGTATGAAAAACCAGCATCCTACTTCATCTCTGCTATATCTAGACATACATGCACACCAACTTAAGAGCAATATGGAGTGTTTGCTATTACGGAATGTTCCTGGGCAGTCTTGTGCAATGGTTGTGGGCACTGTTAGTTTATGAGAACTACCTACTTGATAGCTAACAGTTAGATTGTCCCATAGACAAAGATCAGTGTGTTCCAAACTGAACTCACTGGATTCCTTTCCTAAACCTGCTATTTTTCTGCTTTCTCTATCTCAGCAAAGACCTTTTCTCTGTCTCTGTCACCACTCACATCCAGTTTGTCACCATGACCTGCTGATTCTTCCTGTGTGAAATTTCTCCTCACTTCTCCCATCCTGCTCTTATTCTCTCCTGGGTTATTGGGACCACTTCACTCTTGGTCTCCCTCTGTCCTTTCATGGCTCTCTCCAAGCGTTCCCACTTGGTGTGCTCTTTCTAAAATGAAAATCGGCCAGGCGCAGTGACTCACACCTGTAATCCCGGCACTTTAGGAGGTCGAGGTGGGCAGATCACCTGAGGTCAGGAGTTCGAGACCAGCCTGACCAACATGGTGAAACCCCATGTCTACTAAAAATACAAAAATTAGCTAGGCATGGTGGCGCACGCCTGTAATCCCAGCTACTTGGGAGGCTGAGGCAGGAGAATCACTTGAACCCTGGAGGCAGAGATTGCAGTGAGCTGAGATCACACCATTGCACTCCAGCCTGGGCATCAAGAGCGAAACTCCGTCGCAAAAATAAATAAATAAATAAATAAATAGCAAATCTACTTGTCAAAATAGCATGTCTTTAATAAAAGATAAATAAAAATAAAAAACAAAATAAAACACACATCTATACTCACCTTCATGGAACCCTCCCAAATCTGAGCACAGTCCGCAGGGCCCCTGCCTCTCCCCAACATCATGCTGTGGTTGCATGTGCTTCATCCCATCCGGAGCTCCAGGCTATTGCTGCTGTTTTTCCTGTGTTCTCATCCCAGGGGCCTCTCCGGGGCAGGTGATCCTCCTTGAAATCCCCATGTCCTTCTCTGGGGCCCAGAAATTCCATCTGCTGCTCCTGTGGTCCTCTGGGCTCAGGGAAACCCCGTGGGACTCCCAAGACCCTTGTTGCTCTGTCCAGGCTGGGCCAGGCAGACCCCGGGAGGCCTCTGCCCCGTTACCACTCTGCCGTTTCTGCTTTGGGGTATTTTTCCATCTTGGGGTCCACCCCAAGGATCCTCAAACTTAGCGGTGTCTGATTCTGTGCCCCGACCTTGAGGTTCAGCTGATGCTGGGGGTGGGGTTGAGAGCATTCCACACAAATTCAACCCCTTTCTCTCAGTCTTCTGTCTTGGGAGCCAAGAGCCCAGCCCTTACATCCTATTTGCCAGGTTCCTTCCTGTGTCCCACCAGACCTAGACCTTGGAAGTTTAAAAGCCAGCAGAAGACTTAATTTTTCCTGTGGCTCGCGCCTGTAATCTCAGCATTTTGGGAAGTCAAGACAGGCGTTCGAGACCAGCTTGGGCAACATAGTGAACCCCCCACCCCAATTTTAAAAACAAAATACAAAAATTAGCCAGGTGTGGTGGTGCACACCTCTGGGAGGTAGGGGTGGGAGGATCGTTTGAGCCTGGAAGGTAGAGACTGTAGTGAGCCGTGATTGCGCCACTGCACTCCAGCCTGAGTGACAGAATGAGACCCTGTCTCTAAAAAAAAAAAAAAGAGAAAGAGAGAGGGAATTATTCTTATACACCTAGATGTACCACATTTTCCCTGAGGCAGTGAATTCAGAATACTTGGAAAGGTAAATGAGGAAGGGTTAAGCTTTAACAGGAAAAATGGGGAAAAAAGTGAGTAATATTTCAAAATATTACCTTTCTATACAAGGGAAAGGATCCAAATTATACCACTGTGTCGTAAAAATTATTATGACCTGAAGACATTTGAGAATCAACAGATGCAGAAAGAGGCTTTGTCTGAATACTCCCTTATCTGACTAAAAGCAGAAACTTCTGGGAGTGAGACTGCCACTAGCCCCCTCTCTGGAGGAGTTTCACGGCTGTGAAGAAGATGAAGAAGACCACAAACAAACATGATGAAGAACCATCTTGTCTCCTGGTTTGTTCTCCTAAAAATACATTTGTCTTTCCTAAATAAACCCATTTGTTCTTCCAGTAGAAGCCTTTTCCTCCCTGCTCCTTTACCCTTATTAAGGTAGGCTTGTAAATCCCTGTCTTTAGTTATGGATAAAGTCATTTTCTTTGTGGGTTCCTAGTATGTGAATAAACTTTATCTTTTCTTTTGTTAATCTGTCTTTTGTCAGTTTAATTCACAGCCCCCCAAGAACAGCATCTAAGAGGGTGGAGAAGACATTTTTCCTCCCTGACGCAAGCAATCACTTCAGAGTCTTCTTGATATTTTAGGTAGAATTTAGGTACTCTAGTTCCCGCAGGGGGATTCCAGTCTCAGACAACCCACCGCAGTAGGACCGCTTCAATCATACTTCATAATGATTTTCTCAGTATGAGCTTGTTGGCTTAGAGCTGCGGAAGAGAAGTCACAAAGAAAGCCTAAGGTTTCAGAGAGCACTGAGGTAAGCTCAACCCAGGTCTCAATTCAATTTCTAGAAGAGGAGGACACTAGTGGAAATCATTTCCATGTATATCCTGTATTTCCAGGGCCGAAACCAATACAGTAGTATGTCTGCTTCTTACAGTTTTTTTTCCCTATGCTTATACACTTTTATTTTCTACATTTTTGGACTCACACTTACGTATACTATTTTGCACCTTTAGCTTATACTATTTATTAAATATATATTTATATTGTGAAGATGAACATTTTTCAGGACATTAAGCATTTTCTTTTCTTTTCTTTTCTTTCTGAGACAGTCTCACTCTGTCGCCCAGGCTGGAGTGCAATGGCATGATCTTGGCTCACTGCAACCTCCGTCTCCCAGGCTCAAGCAATTCTCCTGCCTCAGCCTCCCGAGTAGCTGGGACTACAGGCATGTGCCACCATGCATGGCTAATTTTTGTGTATTTTTAGTAGAGACAGGGTTTCACCATGTTGGCCAGGCTGGTCTTGAACTCCTGACCTCAGGTAATCCACCTACCTCAGTCTCCCAAGAGCTGGGATTATGGGTGTGAGCCACTACGCAGGGACTGCCTGCCTGCCTTCCTTCCTTCCAAGGCAGGAGGATCACCTGAGGTCAGGAGTTTGAGATCAACCTGGCCAACATGGTGAAACTCTGTCTCTACTAAAAATGCAAAAATTAGCTGGGTGTGGCAGTGGGCGCCTATAATCCCAACTACTCGGGAGGCTGAGGCAGGAGAGTCGCTTGAACCCAGGAGGTGAAGGTTGCAGTGAGTCAAGATCGCGCCACTGCACTCCAGCCTGGGCCACAAGAGTGAAACTCCATCTCAAAAAAACAAAATAGACATTTGAGTTCTAAAAAACAGGCATTCTAGTTTGAAGATACTCCAACTAAAACTTCAATGAACATTCTTGTGCAGTTTTTTTTGTTTGTTTTCTTTAATATAGGGTCTCGTTGTGTCACCCAGGCCGGAGTGCAGTGGTGTGATCATGGCTCACTGTTGCTTCAACCTCCCCGGCTCAAGCGCTCCTTTCCTCAGCCCCATAAGTAGCTGGGACTACAGGTGCACACCACCATGCCCAGCTAGTTTTTGTATTTTTTTGTAGAGATGGGGTTTCGCCATGTTGCCTAGGCTAGCCTTACACTCCTGAGCTCAGGAGATCCTTCTGCCTCAGCCTCCCGAAGTGCTGGGATTACAGGCGTGAGCCACTGTGTCTGGCCTTCTTGTATAGGTTTTTTGATGGACATGTGCTCTTGTTTCTGTTGAGTATTTATCTAGGAGTGAAATTGCTGGTGGCTCTAGATTTAGCTTTGGTTTTCTAAAGTGGTTGAACCAATTTATACACCTCCCAGTAATGCATGAGGGTTCCAGTTACTCCCCGTTCCCACCAACATTCAGTATGGTTGTTGCTTCCCATCTTAGCCATTCTGGTGGCTGTGCAGTGATATCGCACTGAGGTTTCAATTTGAATATGCATATTTTATTATGAAAGTAATATATTTTTATATATGTAGAAAATTTAGGCCGGGAGTGGTAGCTCACGCCTGTAATCCCAGCACTTTGGGAGGCCAAGGTGGGTGGATCACCTGAGGTCAGGAGTTCGAGACCAGCCTGACCAACATGGAGAAACCCCGTCTCTACTAAAAATACAAAATTAGCCAGGCGTGGTGGCAGGTGCCTGTAATCCCAGCTACTCAGGAGGCTGAGGCAGGAGAATTGCTTGAACCTGGGAGGTGGAGGTTGCGGTGAGCCAAGATCGTGCCATTGCACTCTAGCCTGGACAACAAGAGTGAAACTCTGCCTCAAAAAAAAAAAAAAAGAAATGAAAAAGAAAAGAAAACTTAAAAAGTGCAGGAAAGAATAAACTAAATATCATTTGTACCCTATCATCCTCTCCCCTCCACCAAGCTCCATTGGATTGAAGTATTTATGTACAATGTTAAGGTTGTACTGATTTATACTTCCAGCATCCATGTATCCCTTTTTTATCCTGAACTGGGATTATTTTAAAAGTTGTCAATTTTGGTATCTCCTTATGGTTTTATTTATTATTTCTTTTATTTCTATTGAAATTGGACTTTAAAAAATTTTCAGGTGGTAGTGTGCACCTGAAGTCCTAGCTACTGGGGAGGCTGAGGCAGGAGAATTGCTTGAGCCCAGGAGTTCAAGGCTGCAGTGAGCTATGATTGCACCACAGCACTCTAGCCTGGGTGACAGAGCAATGTATATCAAATGTATTACATATTTTTTATTTATTATATTATATACATATACATTTTTATTGTTGTTGTTGTTTTCTTGAGACAGAGTTTCACTCTTGTTACCCAAGCTGGAGTGCAATGGTGAGATCTGTGCTCACTGCAACCTCTGCCTCCTGGGTTCAAGTGATTCTCCTGTCTCGGCCTCCCGAGTAGCTGGGATTACAGGCACGTGCCACCACGCCTGGATAATTTTTTGTATTTTTTTAGTAGAGTTGGGGTTTCACCATGTTGGCCAGGCTGGTCTTGAACTCCTGACCTCGTGATTTGCCTTGCCCTCCCAAAGTGCTGGGATTACAGGTGTGAGTCACCGTGCCCAGCATTATATATATATATATTTTAAAAGGCTGGGCGTGGTAGCTCACACCTGTAATCACAGCATTTTGGGAGGCTGAGGCAGGCTTGCTTGAGGCCAGGAGTTTGAGACCAGCCTGGGCAATGTAGTGAGTTTAAAAAAAATTTTTTTTAATTTTATTGCTCTTTATATTGTAGTGTATTTTATTTTATTTTATTTATTTTGAGATGGAGTCTCGCTCTGTCACCCAGGCTGGAGTGCAATGGCGTGATCTTGGCTCACTGCAACCACTGCCTCCCACGTTCAAGTAATTCTCCTGTCTCAGCCTTCTGAGTAGCTGGGATTACAGGCACGCACCACCATGCCGGGTTAATTTTTGTATTTTTAGTAGAGACGGGATTTCACTACGTTGGTCAGGCTGGTCTCGAACTCCTGACCTCATGATCTGCCCGCCTCGGCCTCCCAAAGTGCTGGGATTACAGGCGTGAGCCACCACACCTGGCCTATATTACCTTTTAAATAAATTGTCTCATTTCCTTTGATGAAACAGATTTTTATCATCACACCTAATGAAACAGCATAAAAAATAGTTTACATGGTAATCTCATAAATTAGTAGATATGCAAACATTCTAAATAAAATTTTAGCAATCAGAATATAGTATAAATTTTAATAAAGTATAATTTTTAAAGGAATTTTAAAGGTGTGGTAGCTCACACCTGTAATCCCAAAAGTGTGAGAGGCTGAGGCGCAAGAATCGATTGAGCTCTGGAGTTCCATACCTGGGCAACATAGCAGACCTCATCTGTACTAAAAATAGTCCCAGCTACTCTGGAAACTGAGGCGGGAGGATTGCTTGAGCTCGGGAGATTGAGATCAGTGCTATCATCATGCCACTGCAGTCCACCCTGGGTGACAGAGTAAGACCCTGTCTCAAAAAAGAAGAAAAAAAGAACATGTACTTTTTAACCAATTCTGTTTTTGAACTTATTTCAAATGGTCTTTCATTTTTGTTTTTCTGTCACTTATAAACATCCCCCACTAAAGCTCAATTTTCCACATAACCAATAATATTATTGGAAAAAATTCATATAATTATTTCCACAAATGCCAGAGGGAATTCTTCATGGAAACTCTCCCTAAAAGCAATAAAAGGTTGCCTCTTTAACATGACAAAAAGGCTCTATTGAAAACCAAAAGTCAAAATTACACTTAATGGAGAACATGAATTATTCCTCTTTAAAATAGGAACAAGACAAGGATATCTTATTACTACTATTCAACGTAGCTCTAAAAATTCTGACAAAGCTATTTGAGAAGAGAAAGAAAGATATACATAAAGAAAAGGAAGAAATAAAATGATCATGTTATGCAAATGAAATGAAAAGCACCTCAAAATTACTAGAGATAATAAATGAAGGCATCAAAGAAACAAGATATAATACAAATTAATTTAGGACAATTTTCCTCTTGATAATAGTGCATTTCTCATTTTTGTTCTTTCTTTCCATGCATCCCTTTCTGTTTTTATTCTTAAAGCTTCATGATTTTACAATTTATAAGTCCTGAACATTTTGTGTTAATCTTTTCTCAGATATTTTAAAGATTTTTTAATCGCTTTTATAAATGGAATTTTTTTTGACATTACATGTACTTTATTTTTCTTAAGTGTTTAAAATAAGGCATTTCGGCCAGGCACGGTCGCTCACGCCTGTAATCCTAGCACTTTGGGAGGCTGAGGCCTCCTCAGGTGGATCACCTGACGTCAGGAGTTCGAGATGAGCCTGGCCAACATGGTGAAGCCCTGTCTCCACTAAAAATACAAAAATTAGCTGGGCATGGTGGCATACACCTGTAATCCCAGCTACTTGGGAGGCTGAGGCAGGAAAATCGCTTGAACCCAGGAGGCGGAGGTAGCAATGATCCGAGATCGTGCCACGGAACTCCAGCTTGAGCAACAGAGACAGACTCTGCCTCAAAAAGAAAAAAAAAAAGGCATTTCTTTTGTAATCTAATTATAACATTTGCAGTTATTTGGAATTGTCTTTCATTTCTGTTTTTCTGTCACTTATAAACATCAGTCATTCACAATGACTAATGATAGAGGTACATCACGTAAGTATAGATGTAAAGTATTGTTTAAGAAAGCTTAGGTATTTATTTTTCGGGCTTTCATGTTGTTATGCTGTTCCTACTCTTCTTCTTCTTCTGTTTTTGTTTTGTTTTGTTTTGTTTTTTTGAGAAAGAGTCTTGCTCTGTTGTCCAGACTGGAGTGCAGTGGTGCAATCTTGGCTCACTGCAACCTCCGCCTCCCATGTTCAAGCGATTCTCCTGCCTCAGCCTCCTGAGTAGCTGGGATTACAGGCATGCGCCACCATGCCAGGCTAATTTTTGTATTCTTAGTAGAGACAGGGTTTTGCCATATTGGCCAGGGTGGTCTTGAACTCTGACCTCAGGTGATCCACCTGCCTCGGGCTCCTAAAGTGCTGGGACTACAGGTGTGAGCCACTGGGCCCAGCCTGTTCCCATTTTTCCATTGTTCTTCTCCTCCCCTCATTTTCTTTTTCTTTTTTTTTTCTTCTTTGAGACGGAGTCTCAGTCTGTCGCCCAGGCTGGAGTGCAGTGGCACGACTTGGCTCACTGCAACCTCCGCCTCCCGGGTTCACACCATTCTCCTGCCTCAGCCTCCCGAGTAGCTGCGACTATAAGCGCCTGCCACCACGCCCGGCTAAATTTTTTTTGTATTTTTAATAGAGACGGGGTTTCACTATGTTGGTCAGGCTGGTCTCGAACCCCTGACCTCTTGATCCACTCGCCTCGGCCTCCCAAAGTGCTGGGATTACAGGCGTGAGCCACCGCACCCGGACCCTCCTCTCATTTTCTTTTCTGGTGTCTTGAACCAGGTAACTGGGAGGCATATTAAGGGGTTTTAAATTTAGGTAATAAAACAAATCACTAGTTCCTGGTATACAGCACTAGATTTGGTTACAGAAGTTTTTGCTAACCATTACCTCTGGTTTCAGGCAGTTGTCAGGTGACTGGCCTCAGGATAACATATTGCTCTATGTATTGCTATGTGACAAACCACCCCAAAACTTCGTGGCTTCAGCAAAAATATGTGATTGTTGCTCATGGTTCTGTGGGTTGCTGGACTTAACCTGATAACTCTCACTCAGGATTTGCAGTGTCAGCCAATCTGAAGCCTCAACTCCGCTGGACAGTCTGGGATCTGATGCTATCTTCAAGTGGATAGTGTCAGAATTGAATTGAATTATTGACACCCAGCTAGTATCTGCTGCAGAACTGCTTGATGTGTGGGGACCTCTCACTCCAACACACACACACACACACACATATTTTGGTGTCAGAAACATCATAAGTGTTGATATTTCCTATCTCAAATAGTAGCCACCTTTGGAGACTATCTACTGCACTTACATGAGTTGCAAAACTACTTGAGACAGAACCAGGCCAACGAGGGATAGTTGTTTTTTTGTTTGTTTGTTTGCTTTGTTTTTTGTTTTGTTCTGAGATGGAGTTTCCCTCTTGTTGCCCAGGCTGGAGTGCAATGATGTGATCTCGCCTCACCACAACCTCCACCTCCTGTGTTCAAGCGATTCTCCTGCCTCAGATTCCTGAGTAGCTGGGATTACAGGCATGCGCCACCACGCAAGGCTAATTTTTGTATTATTGATGGAGATGGGGTTTCTCCATGTTGGTCAGTGGTCTCGAACTCCCGACCTCAGGTGATCTGCTTGCCTCCGCCTCCCAAAGTGCTGGGATTACAGGCGTGAGCCACCGCACCTGGCCCAATAGTTTTTATTTATTTACTTGTTTATTATTTTTTCTTTTCTTTTCTTTTTTTCTTGAAACAGAGTCTCATTCTGTTGCCCAGGCTGGAGTGCAGTTCACGGATCACTCCAGCCTCAACCTCCCGGCTCAAGCTATCCTTCTGTCTCAGCTCCCCCCAAATTCCCCCACAGCCGGGACAACAGGCGTGCATCACCATGCCCGGCTAATTTTTACAATTTTTGTATAGTTAGGGGTCTCAGTATATTGCCCAGGCTGGTCTCGAAGTCCTGGACTCAAGCAATCTTCTCCCCTTGGCCTCCCAAAGTGCTGGGATTACAGGCTTTTTTTTTTTTGGAGACAGAGTCTCGCTCTGACGCCCAGGCTGGAGTGCAGTGGCAAGATCTCAGCTCACTGCAACCTCCGCCTCCTGGGTTCAAACGATTCTCCTGCTTCAGCCTCCCGAGTAGCTGGAATTACAGGTGTCCACCACCATGCCCTGCTAATTTTTGTATTTTTAGTAGGGATGGGGTTTCACCATGTTGGCCATGCTGGTCTCGAACTCCTGACCTCAGGTGATCCACCTGCCTTGACCTCCCGAAGTGCTGGGATTATAGGCGTGAGCCACTGCGCCCAGCCTGGATAGTTTTTTATTTGCAGTGTACAATGTTTTCTAGTCCAGTGCTTCACAGGCCTCTGTGAATACAAATTGCCTGCGGATCTTGTTCAAATGCAGATTCTGATTCAGTGGATCTGGGAAACCATCCTCAGTCGGTTCTTGACTATTTAAACAAAAACTGGGAAACCCCTGAGATTCTTCATTTCTGAGCTCCCAGATGATGCCCATACTGCTATTCACCTTTTTTCCCCCACTTTGTAAGGCTTTGCATAGAGAAGTTCCCCTCCTGGCACTAACCATTCTTCTAACAGTCTGATCGAGATATAAGTCACACACTATACAAATAAAAGTGTACAATTCAATGATTTTTAATATATTCATAGAGTTGCACCATCATCACCACAATCAACTGTAGAACATTTTCATCATCCCAAGAAGAAATCTTGCACTGTTTCGCCATCAACCCGCCACCTCCCCATCCTTCCCTGCCTTGAGCAACCACAACAATCTACTTTCTTTTTCTACAGATTTGCCTATTCTGGACACTTCATCTAAATTGAATCATACAATACGCAGTCTTTTGTGACTGGCTTCTTTCACTTAACATAATGCTTTCAAGGTTCATCTGTGCCGGGCTGGGTGCAGTGGCTCACGCCTGTAATCCCAGCACTTTGAGAGGCCAAGGCAGGTGGATCACTTGAGGTCAGGAGTTCGAGACCAGCCTGACCAACATGGTGAAACCCTATCTCTACTAAAAATACAAAAACTAGCCAGGTGTGGTGGCACACGCTTGTAATCCCAGCTACTTGGGAGGCTGAGGCAGGAGAATTGCTTGAACCCGGGAGGCGGAGGTTGCAGTGAGTGGAGATCATGCTGTTACACTCCAGCCAGGGTGACAAGAGCAAAACTCCGTCTCAAAAAAAAAAAAAAAAAAAAAGGTGTAGCATGGATTAGTACTTCATTACCTTTTATGGCTGAGTAATATTCCATTGTATGGATAGACCACATTTTGTTTATCTGTTCATCAGTTGATGGACATTTGGGTTGTTTCTACTTTTTGGCTATTATGAATAATGCTGCCATGAATATTTGTATGTAAGTTTTTGTGTGGACATGTGTTTTCATTTCTCTTGTGTATAAATCTGGGGTAGAATTGCTGGGTCACATGGTAACTCTATGTTTAACCTTTTGAGGAACTGCCAGATTGTTTGTAAAGTGGCTGCACCATTTTGCATTCCCACCAGGAGCATGTGAGTGTTCCAGCTTCTCACAACCTCACTAACACCTGCTATTATCTATCTTTATTATTATGGCCATCTTAGTGGGTGTTATGTGATATCTCATTGTGGTTTTAATTTGCATTTCCCTGATGGCTAATAATGTTGAACATCTTTTCATATGCTTATTGGCTTTTTTTTAATTATTATTTTTTATTTTTTTTCTGAGACGGAGTCTTACTCTGTCGCCCAGGCTGGAGTGCAGTGGCATGATCTCAGCTCACTGCAAGTTCTACCTCCCAGGTTCACGCCATTCTCCTGCCTCAGCCTTCCAAGTAGCTGGGACTACAGGTGGCGCCACCACGCCCGGCGAATTTTTTGTATTTTTAGTAGAGACAGGGTTTCACCGTGTTAGCCAGTATGGTCTTGATCTCCTGACTTCGTGATCCACCCGCCTCGGCCTCCCAAAGTGCTGGGATTACAGGCGTGAGCCACTGCACCGGCTGTTTTTATACCTTCTTTAGAAAAATTTCTATTCAGATCCTTTGTTCATTTTAAAATTGGGTTGCCTTTTTATTATTGAGTCATATCAACAAACTTTTTTAAATGGCTGGTTGCAGTGGCTCATGCTTGTAATCCCAGCACCTTGGGAGAACGAGACGGGCAGATCACTTGAGGTCAGGAGTTTGAGATCAGCCTGGCCAACACAGTGAAACCCCGTCTCTACTAAAAATACAAAAAAAATTAGTCGGGTATGGTGGCATATGCCTGTAATCCCAGCTACTCAGGAAGCCGAGGCACCCTAATTGTTTGAACCCGGGAGGTTGAGGTTGCAGTGAGCTGAAATCACGCCACTGCACTCCAGTCTGGGCAACAGAGTGAGACCTTGTCTCAAAATAAATTTAAAAAAAAATTTTTAAGAACCACCCAAAAGCTGACTTTTCATTCATTTCCAAACCTGCTTTTGAGGCTGGACTTTTTAATTTCTTCCTTTTTAAAATTTTTACCTTAGAGACAGGGTCTCACTGTGGCACCCAGGCTGGGGTGTAATGGGACCATCACAGCTCACTGCAACCTCAAACTCCTGGGCTCAAAAAAGTAATCCTCCCGGATTAGGCTCCCAAAGTGCTGGGATTACAGGTGCATACCACTATACCTGGCCTTTTGTATTTCTTAGAATTGCATTTTAACATTCATATGAGGAGAACACACACAAGTTTAAAAACAGGCGTTTCCTCTGACCTCAGCTGGCTTAGACAGAAGGTGAAGAAAGGTTATGTTCTGCAGGATCTTTTAAATAAATGGTTTTTAAGAGGTGTCAGTTGCCAAAATGCAAATAGGTGGGAAAAAATAAAAAAGGCGTCAGCCGGCTTTTAACTCTTTAAACAAAAACTGTGAAAGTCTCATAGCCTCAGCCCAGGCATCCCCAGGCAGAAACAAGGACTAGATAAAAGCAGGGAGAGTTGATCATTGACTCAATTAGGCTGAATCAATCTTGTCATTGAGTTCCCAAGGAAATTCAATTACAGGTCAAGTGTAGGAAGCCCTGTGATTGTGGCTTAAGCAGTAGAAATGCCAGGTAGTCGATAGCAGCCTGGGGATGGATTTGACTTCAAAGCCCCTGAATCTGTAGTGGGAAGAAAAGGCAGGAGAGTTGTCGAGAGGAAGAGGCTCCTGGAGTTGAAGAACCAACCATCAAGAGGTTTGCCCCAGGCCAAGGGGGCACTGGACAGACAGGGCACCAGAAATGGCACTGCCACCCCCACCAGCCCAGGTACCCGACCTGACGGTAGTGACTCACCAGCCAGAAGGGCTCATGTGTAGAACCTTCAAGACTCAGTAGGAGACTCCAGCACCAGCATCTCCAGCTAAGTTGAATTGTCTGTGTGGCCAGAAACTGCACTACCAAGGCCAAGGCCAGAGGGTGGGGCAGTAGGCTCTGTAGGGAGAGCAAAAGTCATGGTGGAGGCCAAGAGGCAACTCTCCAGGAATTCCTTTTCCCTGAGGAACTAAGTCTAAGAGAGTCATGGAAGTAACTGATCCCTCTAGCAGTGACACAAATATTGCAAGAGAGTCTTAGAGTCAAAACCCAGAAGCCATAAAAAGACTGATATATTCCACTATGTTAAAAACAGCAAGAAAAAGCTTTTGTATGGCAAAAAAAATTATAACTATATTGTACTGCAGTTTTGTAATATGTTACCACTGGGGGCACTGGACTAAGGATATATGAGATGGCTCCATATTTTTTTTTAACCACTGTATTTGAATCTATATTTATCTCAAAATAAAATGTTTCATTAAACTTTTATATAAAGGCTGGGCGCGGTGGCTCATACCTGTAATCCCAGCAATTCGGGAGGCCGAGGCGGGCGGATCACTTGAGGTCAGGAGTTTGAGACCAGCCTGGCCAACATGGAGAAACCCTGTCTTTACTAAAAATACAAAAAAAAAAAAAAAATTTTAGCTGGATGTGGTAGTGTTCCCTGTAATCCCAGCTACTGGGGAGGCTGAGGCAGGAGAATCGCTGGAACTTGAGAGGCAGAGGTTGCAGTGAGCTGAAATCACGCCATTGCACTCCAGCGTGAGCGACAGAGCGAGACATCATCTCAAAATAGATAGATAGATAGATAAATAAATAAATAAAGTTATAAATAAAAGGCAAAATACATAAAAAGAGCTGGAATAAGTACTTGCAACTCATATCAAAGACCAAGGGCTGGCTGGGTATGGTGGCTCTCACCTGTAATCCCAGCACTTTGGGAGGCCGAGCCAGGCAGATCACCTGAGGTCAGTTCGAGACCAGCCTGGCCAACATGGTGAAACCCCGTCTCTACTAAAAATGCAAAAATTAGCTGAGTATGGTGGCAGATGCCTGTAATCTCAGCTGCTCAGGGGAGGCTGAGGCATGAGAATCACTTGAACCCAGGAGGCGAAGGTTGCAGTGAGCCGAGATTGCGCCACTGCACTCCAGCCTGGGGGATAGAGTGAGACTGTGTCTCAAAAACAAACAAACAAACAAGCAAAAGACCAAGGGCTAATGCTGTAATTTACAAAGAGCTTCTAGAAATTGAGAAGAAAAAGACCACCAATGCAGTTTAAAAAAAACACACACACCACTGCTGGGCACGGTGGCTCACGTCTGTAATCCCAGCACTTTGGGAGGCCGAGGTGGGAGGATCACCTGAGGTCAGGAGTTCGAGAACAGCCTAGCCAACATGGAGAAACCCCATCTCTACTAAAAATACAAAATTAGCCAGGCGTGGTGGCACATGCCTGTAATCCCAGCTACTCAGGAGGCTGAGGCAGGAGAATTGCTTGAACCCAGGAAGCAGAGGTTGTGGTGAGCCAAGATTGCACCATTCCACTCCAGCCTGGGCAACCAGAGCAAAACTCCATCTAAAAAAAAAAAAAAAAAAACTACACACACCACCAATCCAAAACAGAAAGAGCAAAGGACATAAAGAGATAGTTTACACACCAAAAATATAAAAAGTCTTTAAATTCATGAAAAGAAGTTCAACCTTTCTCATAAAACAAATGCAAATTAAAACTATAGTGAGACACCATTTTTTTCTACCAAACAGATTGGTAAAAATCCCCAAATCCTAAAGTTGGACAATGTACTCTGTTGGTGAAGCTTTTTTTGTTTTGTTTTTGAGACGGAGTATCGCTCTGTTGCCCAGGCTGGGGTGCAGTGGTGCGACCTGGGCTCACTGCAAGCTCTGCCTCCCAGATTCAGGCCATTCTCCTGCCTCAGCCTCCCGAGTAGCTGGGACTATAGGTGCCCGCCACCATGCCCGGCTAATTTTTTGTGTTTTTAGTAGAGACAGGGTTTCACCATGTTAGCCAGGATGGTCTCGATCTCCTGACCTCATGATCCACTTGCCTCGGCCTCCCAAAGTGCTGGGATTACAGGCGTGAGCCACCACGCCTGGCCTGGTGAAGCTTTAAGGGAACAGAGACTCTTTGCATTTATGCTTTAACCCAGCATATGGGGCACATATATAAGATATGTTCATGAAATACCAATCCATGCATAAAAATGAAATGACATAGCACAAGGGTATTAATTGAGACACTGTGATAGCAAAAGAGTGGAAACAATTCAAGTGTCTAGTAATGGGGACTTACTGAATAATTTATGGTCCAGCCACATAATGGATTAAATATAATATTGGCTATAAGAAAGAAAGAGGAAGATGTCTATGAACTTATGTAGAAAAGGTTCCTGATTTATTATTGCTAAGTGAAAAAAGCACTTTTCAGAACAGTAAAGCATATGCTGCCACTTAGGGAAGAAAAAATGGTCAGAATACATCTCTGTAAAAATGTTACCTCAGGTGGAAGGAGAGAGGGGAAAAGTGAAGGAGGCAAGGGTGGAAATGAGGTTTCTCTGTAATGCTGTTGCTGAAATGTCAGGGGATCAGTTTACTGCACAGAAAGCCAATCACTGAGACAACAAGTATTGCCAGAGAAGAAGGCTATAATCAGGCACTGCCACCAAGGAGATGGGAGATCAGTCTCAAATCTATCTCCCTGGCTGGCTAAAATTATGGATTTATATAATAGGGAAGAAATGTAACCATGTGTGGGAAAACAGGAATTAGGGAGGGGTTAGGAAGGGAAGTTGGTCAACAAGAAGCAGGTGGTCTGTTAGGCAACCATGATGGGTGAGGAGTCTGGCATCTCATTGTCCAGATGTCATGATCTGGTAACTTTCAGCTCCTTGATACTATCTGGGAGGCCTGATGGTTGGCTTCCTAAGAAAGGAACTCAGATAAGATAAATGTAACTTTCTCAAGTTTTATGACTGGGAGGATCATTTTTATGTTTATTCAATGAAACCATAAACATCAGTTCCAAGGGACAGCTGGGCCAGTTTCAATGCCTTTTTGTATAGTTATGACTCTTAATCCTATAAGTTTATTTCCCACCTTGAAAGAATTCCCAAGACTTAGAGATGCTCCACAGAGAAGGGTAGAATGGAGCTTGTCACCTGTCCTTTGGGAAGGTAGACATGTGCAGGAACTCAGGGATCCATGCTTGGGATAGTAGAACCTGGCCATATTAGGGAAGGAAGTGACCCTAAAAATTATCCAGTTTTGGCCAAGTGTGGTGGCTCACGCCAGTAATCCCAGCACTTTGGGATCCACCCAGCTAAGGTGGATGGATCACTTAAGGTCAGGAGTTCCAGACCAGCTTGGTTAACATGGTGAAACCACATCTCTATTTAAAAAAAAAATACAAAAATTAGCCAAGCGTGGTGGCGCACGCCTATAATCCTAGCTACTCTGGAGGCTAAGGCATGAGAATTGCTTGAACCTGGGAAGCAGAGGTTGCAGTGAGCCAAGATTGCACCAATGCACTCCAGCCTGGGTGACAGAGCAAGACTGTATCTCAAAAAAAAAAAAAAAAAATCCAGTTCTGTATTTTCATTTGTTTACATAGTTGAGGGAAACTAAGATGGGAGTGGAGAATTAATTCCCTTGCCTAAGGACTTATAGTGAATAGTGTGAAAATAATCTCTGGAGCCCAGATTTCTTCAATTTCTAAGAAAAGTAGCTCTTCCGAAGTACGTCTTTATTGCTGAAGAGGCAGCACCATTTGGGTGAGGGAAGTGGTTGCTTTTTGTGATTATAGCCATCCAGAAGCCTCGTACCCTCCGGACAACTGATCACCCTGTAGCCGTGTGGGTTACAGGTTCTGCATGAGATTTAGCTCCAGCACCTTGGTCATTTAGGACTCGCGGGGCCAGTGAGGGCCCATAACACCGAGGTGATCCTTCCAGTCCCAGAAAGGCTGGGGAGGCCTATGAAGCCAGAGAAGACAGTTCATCCCCTGAGGGAAAAGGGGGAAGAGAGCACTCCTCAGGGAAGTAGGGGAAGAAGCAAGACTGGCAAGGTAACCAAGGGCTACGCATTTTAAATAATTTAAACCTCTTTTTTTTTTTTTTGAGACAGAGTCTTGCTCTGTTGCCAGGCTGAAGTGCAGTGGCGCGATCTCAGTTCACTGCGATCTCTGCCTCCCGGGTTCAAACAATTCCCCTGCCTCAGCCTCCTGAGAAGCTGGAACTACAGGTGTGCACCACCACGCCCCAGCTAATTTTTTGCATTTTGGTACAGATGGGGTTTCACCACGTTGGCTTGGATGGTCTGGATCTCCTGATCTTGTGATCCGCCTGCCTTGGCCTCCCAAAGTGCTAGGATTACAGGCATGAGCCACTGTGCCCGGCCATTAAACCACTCTTAATGGAAATATTTCTAAAAGCCTTCCTTCCAAAGCAGAGCCCACTGAACGTAATTTAACTTTCCCAGTGACTCAGTGCCATCATTATAAAAGTTTCCAGGACTGTGGCACAGGCGACAGTCCCCAGGGACTCCTGCAGGAGGAAGGTAAGGCCTTTGCCCCTCACACTAATAGATTGCTCTTCTTTCTGAGGTCTTGCATTTGCTTTGAGAGCCTGTCTGTCCTCTCTTTCAGCTGCCATCCCTGTGGGCTGGCAACGCCTGAGTATCACTGAGGATTTCAAGAGTGAGAAAGCCCCTCCTCTGTGTAAAACCTACTGTTCTTTGAGGGTCTTTCTGAGTCTCAAACTCCACGGTTGTCTCCATTTCCCTTGATTAGGATTCATTGCTGACCTCACGGCGGGCTCAGAGCAGATGCAAGCCCCATTCATTCAAGACTTCTGTCTCCTACTCTCCTCCTACTACTTGCCCCCAAGCTCCCCACCATTACACCTGTCTCTTCCCAACTTTTATGCTGTGGCCTCTGGAATCCTGCCCAAGGCAAACAAAGTTCTCCACATATAGTAAAACATTAATTCTATATTTAGCCAAGTGAAGCATTCACATAGTTAGAATCATCAAATGTACTTAAAGGTTCAAGGTGAAACCAGCCGCTCTACCACACCACACCCCTCCAGCGCCAGCCCACCTTGCACAGGGAAGTCTCTTTTAGTTGCTACTTCTGGTATTTTCTTTTTCTTTTCTTGTTTGTTTGTTTGTTCGTGTTTTGTTTTTGAGACAGAGTCTTGCCCTGTCGCCAGGATGGAGTGCAGTGGCACAATCTTGGTTCACTGCAACCTCCGCCTCCTGGCTTCAAGCGACTCTCCTGCCTCAGCCTCCCAAGTAGTTGGGATTACAGGCACGCACCAGCACTCCCAGCTAATTTTTGTGTTTTTATAGAGACAGGGTTTAGTCATGTTGGTCAGGCTGGTCTTGAACTCCTGACCTCAGGAGATACGCCTGCTTCAGCCTCCCAAAGTGATGGGATTACAAGTGTGAGCCATCAGGCCCCGACTGTTTTTTGAATTTTAAATAATAAGCAAGAGCTGCTATTTTTTATTTGTCCATTTTAAAAATGATCTGTAGACTTCCTAACATGACACGGGCAATTTCTTGTACACATACATGCAAGCAAGCACACGTGTACACAACACAGATTTCCCTCTCCTTTTTCTTCCAGTTTAGTTTTAATTTTCAGGTAAGTCAATATTACATGTTTACACGATTTCTACTATCGCGTTTATATATTCAGTAGTTACGTGTTCTGTGGTTGTGTTTCTTTTGTTTTTCATCATTTTTAGTTTCTAGGAGTTAGTAATTGCTTAGTAATTACTAGGCAATTTGCTCAGTTTGCTTGGTTGTCTATGTACCTATCATTAGTTCTTTCCCACATCCTCCTACAACCTCTCATTATAATTTTCCACATGGTAAAACACATCAAATAATAAATTGTATTCTGGCTGGGCAAAGTGGCACATTCTTGTAGTCCCAGCTACCTGGGAAGATCTCTTGAGTCCAGAAGTTCCAGGCCAGCCTGGGCAATATAGCAAGACCCTGTCTCTACAAAAAATTTTTAAAATTAGCCAAGCATGGGGCCGGGCGCAGTGGCTCAGGCCTGTAATCCCAGCACTTTGGGAGGCCGAGGTGGGCAGATCACAATGTCAGGAAATCAGACCATCCTGGCTAACACGGTGAAACCCCGTGTCTACTAAAAATACAAAAAAAAATTGGTCGGGCATGGTGGTGGGCACCTGTAGTTCCAGCTATTCGGGAGGTTGAGGCAGGAGAATGGCGTGAACCTGGGAGGCGGAGCTTGCAGTGAGCCAAGATCGTGCCACTGCACTCCAGCCGGGGCAACAGAGTGAGACTCTGTCTCAAAAAAAAAAAAAAAAAATTAGCCAAGCTTGGTGGTGCACACCTGTAGTCCCAGCTACTTGGGAGGCTGAGGTGGGAGGTTAGCTTAAGCCCAGCAGTTTGAGGCTGCAATGAGCTATGATTGTGCCACTGCACTCCAGCCTGGGCACCACTGTAGTCTAGCCTGAGCGACAAAGCAAGACCTCGTCTCTTTAAAAAAAAAAAAAACCTGCTTTCTGGAGTTCTCTGTCATCTCCAATCTGAAAGTTTCTGTTGTCTAGGTCTTTTGTACACATATTATTTTAGGATTTCTTTTCGTCATCGTTGCAGAAATTCCTTTAGCTTCTGGATTGGATCGCCTGTTTCTTAAATTCGTATCTTCTTCTTTCTTGGTTTAATCTCTGGTTTTGGTAGGGCACATTCTCCACTAGCTACCTGGGAAACAATATTTGTAGGTAATTATTAAAAATCATTTTATTGGCCAGATGTGGTGACTCATGCCTGTAATCCCAGCACTTTGGGAAGCCAAGGCAGGCAGATTGCTTGAGTGCAGGGGTTCAAGACCAGCCTGGGCAACATGGCAAAACCCCATCACTATTTAAAAAAATCATTTTATTGAAGTGTAATTTACCCACTGTAAGATGCACCCGTTTTAAGTGTACATTTTGACGGGTTTTGATGATTTTTTTTTTTTTTTGAGATGGAGTCTCACACTGTCGCCTAGGCTGGAGTGCAGTGGCGCGATCTCGGCTCACTGCAAGCTCCGCCTCCCGGGTTCATGCCATTCTCCTGCCTGAGCCTCCCAAGTAGCTGGGACTACAGGTGCCCGGCACCACACCCTGCTAATTGTTTGTATTTTTAGTAGAGACGGGGTTTCACTGTGTTAGCCAGGATGGTCTCGATCTCCTGACCTTGTGATCCGCCTGCCTCGGCCTCCCAAAGTGCTGGGACTACAGGGGTGAGCCACCGTGCCTGGCTGGGTTTTGATAAATTTTATGCCCCTGAGTAACAACCACCACAATGAAGATATGGGACTTTTCCATTGCTCCAAAAAAATCAGGGCGCTACCCCAATCAATCTTCACCTCTACTCCATCCCCAGCTCCAGACAAACTTTCTGTTTTTTGTTACTAGAGATTAGATAAGATTAGTCTTTTCTAGGGTTTTATCTAAATGAAATCACACAGCTGTCTTTTGAGTCTGGCTTCTTTCACTCAGCATGACGTTTCTGAGATTAATCCATATTGTTGTATGTATCAATAATTCATTCATTTTTAACAACATCTTTGTTGAGATATAATTGACATACAATAAACTGCACATAATCAAAGTGTACCATCTGATAAATTTTGACATATATACATGCCCATGAACCTATCACCATTACTCAGTATAATTATTCTGAGATTCGTTAATGTTGTTACATGTATCAATAGTTCATTCTTTTTTGTTGCCAAGTAGCACTCCAGTCCAGTATATATAGATACACCACAGTTTATTTATCCATTCATGTATTTAAACATTGGATTGTTTCCAGTTTCATCTATTACAAGTAAAACTGCTATGAACATTCTTTGTGCAGAGAAAGCTACTATGTCCTTTGATGTCTTTGTATGGACATATATTTTCTTTTCTCTTGGATAAATACCTAAGAGTAAAACTGTTGAATTAATGGTAGCTGTATGTCTAATATGTTAAACTTTTTTTGTTGTTGTTTTTTTGAGACAGGGTCTCGCTCTGTGGCTCAGGCTGGGGTACAGTGGTGCAATCACAGCTAATTGCAGCCTCGACCACTCCGGCTCAAGTGATCCTCCCACCTCAGCCTCTCTAGTAGCTGGGACTACAGGCACAAGCCACCACACCAGCTAATTTTTGTATTCTTTGCAGAGATGGGGTTTCACCATGTTGCCCATGGCTGGTCTCAACCTCCCAGGCTCAAGTGATCCACCCTCCTCGGCCTCCCAAAGGGCTGGATTACAGGTGTGAGCCACCGCATCCAACCTGTTTAACTTTTTTTTTTTTTGAGATGGAGTCTTGCCTTGTTGCCCAGGCTGGAGTGCAGTGGCACAATCTCGGCTCACTGCAACCCCCGCCTCCCGGGTTCAAGTGATTCTCCTACCTCAGCCTCCTAAGTAGCTGGGATTACAGGAGTGTGCCACCATGCCCAGCCAATTTTTGTATTTTTAGTAGAGGCGGGGTTTCACCATGTTGGCCAGGCTGGTCTCTAACTCCTGACCTCCAGTGATTCTCCCACCTCGGCCTCCCAAAGTGCTGAGATTATAGGTGTGAGCTACTGCGCCCAGCCATAGCCTGTTTAACTTTTAAAGAAGCTGTCAAACTGTTTGCCAAACTGGTTGGGCCATTTTATTTTCCTACAAGCAATGAATGAGAATTCCAGTTGCTCCATATCCTCTCTAACACTTGGTTTTGTCAGACTTTTAAATTTTAGCTATTGTGATAGGTATAGTGTTATTATCTGTGTGTGGTTTGATTTTGCATTTCCCTGTTGACTAATGATGTTGAACATTTTTTCATGTGGTTACTGACCATTCATATCTTCTTTTGTGAGGAAAGAGTCTATTCAAATGTTTTGCCAATTGTTTATTTGGGCTGTTTGCCTTCTTATTATTGAGTTGTAAGAGTTATTTATATATTCTGGATACAAGCCTTTGTTAAATATACATATAAAAATATTTTCTGGTGGGGCACAGTGGCTCACGCCTATAATCCCAGCACTTTGGGAGGCTTCAGGCAGGCAGATTGCTTGAGCTGAGGAGTTCGAGACCAGCCTAGGAAATATGGTAAAACCTCGTCTCCACTAAAAATCCCAGAAAAATTACCCAGACATGGCAGCGCGTGCCTGTAGTCCCAGCTACTCCAGAGGCTGAGTTGGGAGGATAACTTGAGACCAGGAGTTCAAGGCTGCAGTGAGCTGTGATCACACCACTGCACTCCAGCCTGGGTGACAAAGTGAGACCTCGTCTCAAAGAATAAAAAAATTAGTAATATTTTATATTTTCTCCCTGTTCCTGGCTTGTCGTTTCATTTTCTTTTTCTTTTTTTTTTTTGTGACAGGTTCTTACTCTGTCACCCAGGCGGGGGTGCAGTGGCACAATCATGGCTCACTACAGCCTCAGTCTTCCGAGGTTTAGGTGATTCTCTCACCTCAGACTACAGGTTCCTGCTACCACACCAGCTAATTTTTGTATTTTTGGTAGAAACAGGGGTTTTGCCATGTTGGCCAGGCTAGTCTCAAACTCCTGGGCTCAAGTGATCCTCCTCAGCCTCTCAAAATGCTAGGATTACAGCTGCTAGCCACCACGCTTGCATTTTCTTAATGGTGTCTTTTGAAGAGCAGAAGTTTTTCATTTTGATAAAGTACATTTTACCAGATTTTTTTAAATGGCTCATGCTTTTCTTTGTTGTTCTGTTTATGAATATTTTGCCTACCTCCATAATGAAGAAGCAGTCTCACAATGTAATTTAGGATGGGGGCTTGTGGTGGAGGTGGTGGTATTAGTTCTGCCACTGGAGGAACTGGAGACTCCAGGTATCAGCCTGATCTCCAGAAGAGCTGGACACTGAAGGTCAGCCGTGTTGTAACTGCCCAGTGGGTTCACCTTGCCCGCTGCCTAGACACAGACAATTTATCAAGACTGGGAATTGTAATAGAGAAAGAGTAATTCACTCAGAGCCGGCTGTGCAGGAGACCCGAGTTTTATTATTTACTCATATCAGTCTCCCTGCCTTTGGGGATCAGAGTTTTTAAGGACAATTTGGTGGGTAGGAGGCAGCCAGTGAGTCACGAATGCTGACTAGTTGGGTCAGAGATGAAATCATAGGAAGTGGAAGCTGTCTTACGCTGAGTTAGTTCCAGGGCGGGGGCCATAGGATCAGATAAGTCAGTTTATCGATCTAGGTGGTGCCAGCTGATCCATCGAGTGCAGGGTCTGCAAAATATCTCAAGCACTGATCTTAGGGTTCACAATAGTGATGTTATTCCCAGGGGCAATTTAGGGAGGGTCAGAATCTTGTGGCCTCCAGTTGCATGACTCCTAAACCATGATTTCTAATCTTTTGGCTAATTTGCTAGTCCTACAAAGTGCCTAGTAAAACAGAAGGCATGTAAATCTGCCCTTCTGCCAATATTGATTGATCTTACTAAATGGCTTGACCAATAAAATGGCCTAAGCCCACAAAGGTTGTTAATTTGAAACAGTGTAGAATACTTGATGGACACAGACAGATTAACACTTTCATTAATGCCCTGTCAGGAGCTGGCGTGCTGGTGTAGACAGAGTCTCTGTACAATAGCCCTGTGTGGAATGCAGACTTGGGCTGTAGCAAAAGCGCCACCCAGCAGTGACCACTGGGATTTTGAACCAAAAAATTTCCACTTGAGAGACAATTAACTAGCTTGCTATTGAACATTAATTGAAATGGCCACTATGACTAAAGACATAAAATAATCTTGAAACCTGACAGAGCCATAATGTCGCGGGCAATTTTGGAGACACATGGCCAGGCGTGGTGGCTCACGCCTGTAATCCCAGCACTTTGGGAGGCCGAGGTGGGCAGAATCACTTGAGGTCAGGAGTTCGAGACCAGCCTGGCCAACATGGAGAAACCCTGTCTCTACTAAAAATACAAAAAAAAAAAAAAAAAAAAAAAGTAAAAATAAAAATAAGCAGGCCATAGTGGCGGGCGCCTGTAATCCCAGCTACTCAGGAGGCTGAGGCAGGAGAATCACTTGAACCTGGGAGGCGGAGGTTGCAGTGAGCCAAGATGGCGCCATTACACTTCAGCCTGGCAACAGAGCGAGACTCCCTCTAAAAAAATAAATAAATAAAATTGAAGAAACACTGTAATGGAGCGGAAAGTGCCCAGAAGAGCTCCATAACAAATGGAAATGGTGTATACAGGAACATGCTACCAGGGAGATGTGAGGATTACTCATGAGCAGGTAGTCTCTTTACCCCTAGAATTGTAGCTGCCCAGCGGGTTCACCTTGCCCTTGCCTAGACAGAGCTGATTTATCAAGACAAGAGAATTGCAATAGAGAAAGAGGAGTTTTTGCAGAGCTGGCTGTGTGGGAGACTGGAGTTTTATTATTACTCAAATCAGTCTCCCTGAGCATTCGGGAATCAGAGTTTTTAAGGATAATTTGGTGGGTGTGGGGCCCGCGGGTCAAGAGTGCTGATTGGTTGGATGGGGGATGAAACCGTAGGGAGTCCAGGCTGTTCTCTTGTGCTGAGTCAGTTCTTTGGTGGGGACCGTAAGATTAGATGAGCTAGTTTACCGAAATATCTCAAGCACTGATCGTAGGTTTTACAACGGTGATATCCCCAGGAGCAATTTGGGGAGGGTCAGAATCTTATAGCCACCAGCTGAATTCCTCCTAAACCATAATTTCTGATCTTTTGGCTAATTTGTTAGTCTTACAAAGGCAGTCTAGTCCCCAGGCAAGAAGGGGGTTTGTTTTGGGAAAGGGATGTTATCATCTTTGTTTTAAACTATAAACTAAAAAATAAGTTCCTTCCAGAATTAGTCTGGCCTCTGCCCTGGAATGAACAAGCACAGGTTGGAGGTTAGAAGCAAGATGGAGTTGGTTAGGTCAGATCTCTTTCACCATCTCAGTTATAATTGTTTTTTTCAATCTCACTCTATCATCCAGGCTGGAGTGCAGTGGAGCGATCTTGGCTCAGTGCAACCTCTGCCTCCCGGCTTCAAGCGACTGTCCTACCTCAGCCTCCTGAGTAGCTGGCATGCGCCACCATGCCCAGCTAATGTTTTTGTATTTTTAGTAGAGACGGGGTTTAACCATGTTGGTCGGGCTGGTCTCAAACTCCTGACCTCAAATAATCTGTCTGCCTTGGCCCTCCTAAAGTGCTGGGATTACAGGCATGAGCCACCGCACCTGGCCTCAGTTACAATTTTGCAATGGCGGTTTCAGAATCCACTTTGGAACCTCCTGGGATGCTGCTGGGTGCTATAGCCACTTGAGTCACTTAAGCGGTGCCCTAGGAACAGCTGTCTATTGACCAACAAAAAGCTTCTTGATTTGTGGATGGCAGTTCCCAGGTGAACAGATAGCATCCTGTTTGGAAGACCACCACGCTAATTAAAGAAGATAAAAACAAATCAGCTGTGTGGGCTGAAGTGCATGCTGTTTGACTCCCTGTTTGGGGTGTGTTTTTTTGTTTTTTGTTTTTGTTTTTGTTTTTGAGATGGAGTCTCGCTCTGTCACCCAGGCTGGAGCGCAGTGGTGTGATCTCAGCTCAACCTCCGCCTCCAGGTTCAAGTGATTCTCCTGCCTCAGCCTCCCGAGGAGCTGGGACTAGAGGCATGCACCACCACACCTGGCTGATTTTGTATTTTTAGTAGAGATGGGGTTTCTCCACGTTGGTCAGGCTGGTCTCGAACTCCCGACCTCAGGTGATCTGCCCGCCTCGGCCTCCCAAAGTGCTGGGTGAGCCACCACGCCTGGCCCCTGTTTGGGTTTTTACCAGTTCATGGGTATAGCTAATGGCCAGGCCATGGCATCCGGTAGAACAATGGTGACTGGACTATTGAAGGGATCCTCATATGGGGCATGGGCCCATGGAAACCACCATGGGAATTTAAGGGATGTATTAAAATCAGACATAACAATGATCCTCAGAAGTAGCCCCTTCTAGGACTGGAAGGAGATTGGAATCTGCAATATCCTTGTTTGAGGTGGCCACCTCAGGTGGCCTGAGGTGGCCATTCATTTAATGGACACGGGGGACCCGTAGCCATGCAGACATAAGCTGGATCTAGACATGTTCCTCTTGCACCCTCTCAGGCACAAAATGCCTACGAGAGTCATACTGTCTATCAACAAGAGAGACAGAGACTGCAGATAACTATGGAGAAGGTCTCCACGGAGAAGGTCCCACATATAGCTGGCAAACTGGACTGATGCTGCCAGCCCTGGGGGGCTACAAATGGTTCCTAAAAGGAACAGACACTCTGGGACTAGGCTTTGCATTCCCAGCAGTAGATGCAAATGCTCAAAATACTATAAAAGAATTGAAACAGAAAATACTGCACCAATTTGGACTGTTGAGTCACATTTCTTCAGACCAAGGAACACATTTTCATCCTCAGAGAAATGTGTTCCATCCAAGGAACACATTTTAAACCTCAAATCATGGTTTGATAGGAACTGGAACAGACATTTGAAACATTTGCTGTTCAAAATCAGGGGAGATAAAGGAATAAAAGGCTGGCTTACATGCCTTCATGTTTACACTCAACATGAGGGAGTCAAGGAAGGCCCCCACTAGACAGATTACCCCACCTTGAGACCTTGTCTCTACCAAAAACATAAACAAAAAACTATTTTAAAACTAACTGGAATATGGTGGCATGCACCCGTAGTCCTATCTACTTGGGAGACTGAGAGGCAGGAGGACGGCTTGAGCGTGGGAAGTTGAGGTTGCAGTGAGCTGTGATTGTATCGCTGCACTCCAGCCTGGGTGACAGAGTGAGACCATGTCTCAAAAAATAAATAAATAAATAAATAAATAAGTGGAAAGTTTAGATATAACTGAAGGGAAGGAGAAATAGTAGCTGAGTATAAAGAATGAGTGGGTTACAATGAGGGGACATCACATATTACATCAATATTACATTGATGCCTTGAGAGGGGCTCAGAGCAAGAGATTATATTTTCCCTTAGCTTAATCATACAGGATGGGCCAGGTGCGGTGGCTCATGCCTGTAATCCCAGCATTTTGGGAGGCCAAGGCAGGTGGATCACCTGAGGTCAGGAGTTCGAGATCAGCCTGGCCAACATGGTGAAACCCCGTCTCTACTAAAAATACAAAAATTAGACGGGTGTGGTGGCGGCGGGTGCCTGTAATCCCAGCTACTCGGGAGGCTGAGGCAGGAGAATCAAAACTCCATCTCAAAAAAAAAAGAAATTATACAGGATGTCTGAAAGGGTGAAGCCATCTAATGCCAAGATCACTCCTGCTTTTGAAACCTGACAAAGCCAAAAGGAAGTCTGCAAGCCCTAGTGGCATCGCTCTGGGAGACATTCTGGTCATATGCTATGATTACTCCAGATGGACGGGACTCCCTGTTAATGTCTAAGACTCTGGTAATATGCCATTATCTTTTGACTATTATTTTTCAGGTTATATCTACAGCCATATTGTGATATAGCGTTAACACTCACCTTGTTGCTAAGATTCAACTATCTTACATAAACAGGTCATGTGATAATACTGATATTGATGATCAAATGTATTGGGAAAATGGCCCTAAGGAAGAACTGGATTTAACTAACCAAAGCTAATTTCTATGCTACCATGCTCTGAGAAGCCCAAGCCATGGAATCACTACATAGAGAAGTACAGAGGTCCTCAACTCACAGCCCTCACCAACTTGCTGGAGGATAGCAACACCAGCTACCAGCCCCATACCCCGGCCAGCATCACGTGGAGCAGGGCCGCCTGGTGAAGCCACTGGGTCCACAGAATCATGAAGTTACAACTGGCATTGCTTCAAGCCATGCAACATTGGGGAGTATTTTATTTCCTACCAGTAAATAGACAAAACACCTGATATTTCCAATCCCTCAGGCTTCCCGGATTCTGCTGGTTTTTGATGTCCACCCCCACCCGCCAGCGCTTGGATTTGAGCTCCCTCTGCTCTGCCAAGTCAGTCATCACTCTCCACTCTCCCCCTGCTTTCCAGAATGCTGAGTTCTCCTGTCTGTGCTCATTTCCTCCCCCGCTCTTCTTGTCCTTGTGGGTTTATGCCTTTTTTATCCCTTTATTGTAATTTTAGTGGGGTTTGGGGAGGGTGAAGAGATAAATAGATCTGCTTAATCCGTCCTGTTTAATTCAGTTTCTCCTGCATTCTTAACATCCTATTCACAGGATTCTCCCTCCACCTCCTTCTTTACTCAAGATCTGGCTCTGCTCACAGGCTCCTCCCAGACGCCACACACCCCAGAGTTGAGAGGTTTGGGGTCAGTGTCCTCATTCCCAGTGGTTCCTTGAGGGCCATGCCACTCACCTCTTCCACCCCGCCCCCATCCCTGGTGAATGCCATCATTCACTGAGCAGTGGGCACACCCTCTTCTCCATCAGCTCCCAGTCTTCTCATTCTGGTGACTTCACCATCCCCAAGATCAATCCAGCCATCAGCTTGGCCTCTGAGCGCCCCGAACTCCTCGTGTCACATGCTTCTCCTCTACCTCCTTCAGCCATGACGTCACAGGACCAAACCCCCACTGTGTCATCTCCCAGAGCTGCCTCCCCTCTGAAGTCACTAATTCAGGCTGCCTACCCAGCACAACGGCCAGCTAAGAGGTCCCTTCTCCTGTGTGGAGCTGATCCCGTAGTCTATGCTCTGCATCCCTTGTCGCGCCCCCACCTCCCGATGGTGCATTCCATCTGCCTTACGTTGTCACCTTCTCCTTCTCTGTACGGTTTATTTTACTTTATTTTATTCTATTTGGAGACAGAGTCTCGCTCTGTCGCCCAGGCTGGAGTACAATGGCACGATCTCAGCTCACTGCAATCTCCGCCTCCCAGGTTCAAGCGATTCTCCTGCCTCAGCCTCCTGGGTAGCTGGGATTACAGGCACCTGCACCACACCTGGCTAATTTTTAGTAGAGATGGGGTTTCACCATGTTGTCCAGGCTGAACTCAAACTCCCGACCTCAGATGATCTGCCCACCTCAGTCTCCCAAAGCGCGGAGATTACAGGTGTGAGCCTCCACACCCGGCCTCCTTCTCTGTATGTTTTCTGAGGGCAGCACCAGCACCCATTCACCCACTTCCAGCAGCAGAGCCTGATTTTGCCTCTAGACCTCTCCCTGTCCCCCTCAGTCCTTGTCATCTAGGTTAAACTGGCTACACCCTCAGCCTGGTGTGAGCCAGGCCCTGCCAATCCATCACCTTGCCTGGTGACTGAGATGGACTCGGGAGTGGACATCCGACCAAAGGCAGGCCAGTTAGTCAAGAGACTCTTGGATTTTTGTGGAAGCCATTAGGTAAGTGGGGTCTTTGCTGGTTGGATTTAAGTCTGGGAGGATGAAGGACAGCACTGTTGCAGCCGTTTTGCCACAATGAGGGGAGGGCCTTTGGGAGGATAAAGCCCAGCATAGAAGAGAGCAAAGCCTGAGGCCTGCGGCATCTATGCCTGAATCCAGCTGTGCCTGAAGGTAGCGCTGTAGCTCAGGTTTCCAGTTACAAGAACCCATTCAACCTTTCTGCCTTAGCCTGGTTAGTATTGTGGTCCCACTGAACGTACCATTCAGGAGAATCACGTTTAAAAGTGGCACAAGACAAAGACATGAATCTGAATACCTTCAGACATAGTCTACAGCTCCCCCTGGTGGAAAACATTGTTTTTTAGAGTCCAGCTACTAGGCCTTAATTTTTATCCACCACGTGTCCCAATAGTCTGTATATATCTAGGTCAATTTAGAACATCTTTTCTAGTTCAAAAAGCATGTAATTGCTGCTATTTATAATCCTGATCACAGCCCATTCCGGTAATACTTTGTAATTCAGAACTATAATCCCCAACGAAACATGTCCCAGAATCAAGCAGTGAATGTAGAATGTGCTAGATCATTAGGACTCTTTTTTTTTTCTTTTTGAGATAGGGTCTCGCTCTATTGCTCAGGCTGGAGTGCAGTGGTGTGATCAGGTTCACTGCCGTCTCGACCTCCTGGGTTCAATGATCCTCCCGCCTTGGCCTCCCAAAATGCTGGTGATTACAGGCAGGAACCACTGTGCCCAGCCAGGAATCAATGTTTATAATTATCAAAAAAGAGACAAGAAGAAAGGAGGAAACACAAAACCATAATGCGGAAGAATGTTAAAATCCGGTCAAGTATAACTTCATTGATTTCTGGTTTCAAGGATTGTACCCCACAATTGTCTCTTTTCTCCCCACACGTCATGGAAATGATCAGAAAGAAGTAATTGTATGACAGTTTAAAAAATGAACTGTTCCGACCTGGAGCGGTGGCTCACGCCTGTAATCCCAGCACTTTGGGAGGCCGAGGTGGGTGATCACCTGAGGTCAGGAGTTCGAGACCAGCCTGACCAACATGGTGAAACCTCGTCTCTACTGAAAAAAAAAAATGCAAAATTAGCCGGGCATGCTAGCGCATGGCGGAGGTTGCAGTGAGCCGAAATCGCGCTATTGCACTCCAGCATGGGTAACAAGAGCGAAACTCGGTCTCGGAAAAAAAAAAATCTGTTCCAGCAAATGATAAAGCTGGAGAGAATGTTACTAACAGAACTGAAAATCTGAGGAATTTGAGGAAATGTGTTCTTCGTTGAGAGCAAAGTCACGCAGTGCTGAGCTGAGCACCCAGCGCAAAGGAGGGGCTCCCTAAAGGAAGGTGGAAAGGTCTCCCCAGTAGAGCTCCGCCCAGCCCCAGCTCTAAGCAGCGGGCCCCGGGCATCAGGGTTTCAGGGCTGAGGAATGTCCAGCGCCGCCCGATCGCGCCTCGCTTCCTCCATCACTAAACCACCGGGGGACTGACTGCCCGAGGCTGGTGCAGAAGCGGGTGCGGAAGCGGGAGAGGGAACGCGCGTGGCGCTCCAGCCGCCACCCCAACCCTGCCACTTCCGCAGCTGCCCGGGCGCCGCTGCACCCGGACCACTCTGCGGTCTACCCGCTGCGGCCAGAAGAAGAGAGACTCCGGGGAGGGTGGCCCTGCCGCACCCTGGCCTTCACAGAGCAGGGGGCGGAAGAGCCCAGGTGCCCTCGGTGCCTGCGCAACCTGAGCCCCGGCCGCCTCGCGCCTTATCCTTGGGGCTCCCCCTGGCGGCTAAGCCGGTCCCTGCAGGGAAACGTGCCCGTTGTCTCATCTGCATCCACTTAGCACCAAGACGGGGTAGCTGAGGGGGTCGGCGGAAGAGGAGAGGGGAGGCAGCAAAAGATGATCCATGCGGACGACCAGGGAGCCCACACCAGCCTCCAAGCGCGTCAGCCTCCAGCTCCACTCCCCAGGGTGAAGAGTCAACGGACAATCACCCCGAAGTAAGGCCCTACCGCCTCCTGAAAAAGGTGGTTAAAGAAGGGCAATCCGCTAAAGAATAGAGTACACGGGCCGGGCGCGGTGGCTAACGCCTGTAATCCCAGCACTTTGGGAGGCCGAGGCGGGCGGATCACGAGGTCAAGAGATCGAGAGCATCCTGGCGAACACGGTGAAACCCCGTCTCTACTAAAAATACAAAAAATGAGCCGGGCTTGGTGGCGGGCGCCTGTAGTCCCAGCTACTCGGGAGGCTGAGGCAGGAGAATGGCGTGAACCCGGGAGGCGGAGCTTGCAGTGAGCCGAGATAGCGCCACTGCACTCCAGCCTGGGCGGCAGAGCGAGACTCCGTCTCAAAAACAAAAAACAAACAAACAAACAAACAAACGGAATGGAGTACACGAATTATAAGTACAAGAATGTACTTAAAATATTCAAATTAATACCCTCAATAACATTAATGCCAGAATCTTGCATTCACAATAAAAAACTTGGTGTCCAAAATGTGGTACATCCATGCAATGGAGTATTATTCAGCCTCTAACAGGAATGAAATTCTTACACATGCTATAATGTGGGTGGACCCTGAAAACATTACCCTGAGTGAAATAAGCCAAATACGGAAGGACAAATCCTGTATGATTCCACCTCTACGAGGTACTTAGAATAGGTAAATTCATACAGGAGAAAGTAGACTAGAGGGGCCGTCGTTGTTTAATGGGTACAGAGCTTTTGTTGGAGATGGTGAAGAGTTTCAGGTGTAGTGGTGATGGTTACACAAAAATTTTGGCTGTACTTAATGCCACTAAACTGTACACTTAAAAATGGCTAAAATGAGGCCGGGCGCGGTGGCTCACGGCTGTAATCCGAGCACTCTGGGAGGCCGAGGCGGGTGGATCACCTGAGGTCAGGAGTTCGAGACCAGCCTGGCCAATATGGCGAAACCCCGTCTCTACTAAAAATACAAAAATTAGCACGTGCCTGTAATCCCAGTCTGAAGGTATTCAGATTCATGTCTTTGTCTTGTGCCACTTTTAAACGTGATTCTCCTGAATGGTACGTTCAGTAGGACCACAATGCTAACCAGGCTAAGGCAGAAAGGTTGAATGGGTTCTTGTAACTGGAAACCTGAGCTACAGCGCTACCTTCAGGCACAGCTGGATTCAGGCATAGACGCCGCAGGCCTCAGGCTTTGCTCTCTTCTATGCTGGGCTTTATCCTCCCAAAGGCCCTCCCCTCATTGTGGCAAAACGGCTGCAACAGTGCTGTCCTTCATCCTCCCAGACTTAAATCCAACCAGCAAAGACCCCACTTACCTAATGGCTTCCACAAAAATCCAAGAATTGAGTCTCTTTTTATTTATTTATTTATTTTTTTGAGACGGAGTTTCACTCCTTTGTCCAGGCTGGAGTGCAATGGCAGGATCTTGGCTCACTGCAACCTCCGCCTCCCAGGTTCAAGGGATTCTCCCGCCTCAGCCTCCTGAGTAGCTGGGACTACAGGCACCCGCCACAATGCCCGGCTGATTTTTTGTATTTTTAGTAGAGATGGAGTTTCACCATGTTGACCAGGCTGGTCTTGAACTTCTGGCCTCAGGTGATCCACCCGCCTAGGCCTCCCGAAGTGCTGGGATTACAGGTATGAGCCACTGCACCCGGCCAAGAATTGAGTCTCTTGACTAACTGGCCTGCTTTTGGTCGGATGTCCACTCCCGAGCCCATCACAGTCACCAGGCAAGGTGATGGATTGGCAGGGCCTGGCTCACACCAGGCTGAGGGTGTAGCCAGTTTAACCTAGATGACAAGGACTGTAGCTGGGACTACAGGTGCAGGCCACCACGCCCGGCTAATTTTTTGTATTTTAGTAGAAATGGGATTTCACCATGTTGGCCAGGATGGTCTCGATCTCCTGACCTTGTGATCCACCCACTTCGGCCTCCCAAAGTGCTGGGATTACAGGCATGAGCCACTGCACCCAGCCTGTTGTGGCCATCTTTAGAAAATACAATACGCCACAGCCTGCCCTCTGACCACAACTCACATTCCAACCACATGAAAACACAAGGCTCTTCCCATTATGGCATCAACTCAAGGTCTAGCACTTCTGCATCCAAGTTGGGTCCAGAGGCAGCTGAGTCTCCACAGGTGATTCACCAACTTTCTGCAGCTCTCAGGGTACCTGTTCTGGATTAAAAATGAGATCATCCCAGCTCTGTGGGGTGGTCAAGAGCTTCCCTGGAATGTGGCATCGTAACATTCCACTAGCACTCCCTGAGCACCTTACATGCCCAGCTCCACTGTGTGGACCCATGGAAAACCTGGATGAACAGGAAAGACCCAGAATTTGCCAATGCAAGCTTTGGTGTAGGCTGTCCTCTGTGACTGTCACTGGTTCCACTGATGCAGGGCAGGTGAGCCCCAAAATTGAGGCTTAGCCAGGGAGGGTTCTTGGCTTCACCCAAGAAAGAATTCAAGGGCAAGCTGGTGGCAAGGGGTGGATATGCAACAATTTCTAGAAAAAGGTTGGTAACTTCTGGGTTGTTGAGTTGTTGCCATGGAAAGGGGTAGTAACTTCTGGGTGTTGCCATGGCAATGGTAAACTGACATGGCACTGGTGGGCGTGTCTTATGGAGTGGTGTTCTCACCTCTTCCGTGTTTCAGCTAGTCTTCAATCTGGTCCAGAGTCCAAGCCCCACCTCTGGAGTCAAGTCCTGCCTCCTATATCACTGCTACTTGGATGTCATCCCCAATCGTGGAACCTTCTTCAGGTTCCTTAACTTTACTACATTCAACTGTAAAATCTCATAGCTACATTCCATGGTGACTTCAGGTTTTTGAACATATGCTGATAAATACTTATTTGGAGGGATCACACAGTGGTCCTGTCAGCCAGCCTCACTTTCCATTGTGGTTACATCCTCATCTGTAGAGCAAGGCTTCTTACCATTTTTTTGGAATATTTATCTTATGAGAAATGGGAATACTGAAAGCATAACTATTAAGACTTCATATAATTGAGACAAATAGAAAAGATTTACCTACAACAGGGTGTTCACTGGCTTTAAGCTAAAGGACCTGGCAGACTGCGTTCTAGTTGTTAAGGAAAGAAACAAAATACACAAAATCCTGGGAATGCATCATTGGAAGTTGAGCCTAAAATGTACTGTATTATTGGGGACTTTATATTAAATACATTTGATGACAGATTTACCCTCTTTGGGAAGAGAACCTTCCTGATAGTCTGTGGTTCCCACTCTCCTATCAGGCCCGAGTCTGCGTTTTTTTGTTTGTTTTGTCTTCGTTTTGAGATGGAGTTTCGCTCTTGTTGCCCAGGCTGGAGTGCAGTGGCACGATGTCGGCTCACTGCAACCTCTGCTTCCCGGGTTCAAGGGATTCTCCTGCCTCAGCCTCCCCAGTAGCTGGGACTACAGGCACATGCCACCACGCCCGGCTAATTGTTTGTATTTTTAGTAGAGACGTGATTTCACCGTGTTAGCCAAGATGGTCTCGATCTCTTCACCTCGTGATCCGCCCGCCTCGGCCTCTCAAAGTGCTGGGATTATAGGCAACAGCCTCCCCGCCCGGCCGAGCCTGCGTTTTTAGGTGTACCATGCAGCATACACGAAAGGGATGAAAGACCCGCGTATCCATTGGCCCTGACTGCTGTGACGGATTACCACAAACTTGGTGGCTGAAACAACACACGTTTACTCTCTTACAGTTCTGGAAGTCAGAAGTCCGAATTCAGTTTCACTGGGCCCAAATCCGGTTGTTGGCGGGGCCTTGCTGTCTCTGCAGAATCCATTTCCCATCCATTTCCCGGAGTCACATTTCTTGCGTCCCTTGGCTCCTGTCCTCCAGCAGCGCAGCATCCTGCTTCAGTGTTGCTTTGCTTTGTGTGTCGAATCTCCCTCTTATAAGGACGCTTGTGATTACATTGAGGGCCCACCCAGATAATCCAGGATAATCTTTCCATCTCAAGATCCTTACATTCAAATGGCGAAACATTATTGAATAAAATGAAGTAAATCTATATCTAAGAACATGGAAAACGTCCAAGACATGTAATAAAGGGAAAAATAGAAACTAATACTCGACAACCAGTTAGAAGATATAATAGAAGAAAAGGACCTACAAGAGCAATATAAAAGATAAAATGCTTTTTAATAAACTTAACACAGTTCACAGGTTCTGGGGATTTGGAAATAAAAGAAAAAAAAAGAAAAGAAAAATACAATGATAAAAAAGAAAAGAGTAACAAGAAATACATCAAACTCACTTAAAGAAAAGGTAAAAACACTACAGAAGGGTACAAAAGTAGGCTTCAACAAATAGTAGTCTTGCCCAGAAAGACTCAACATCCTAAAATGTAAATCTTCCATAAATTAATTTATAAGTTTAACACAATAACAAAGAAAGTGCCAATGACTTTTTAAAAATTAGGAAGATGATTAAAAAGACAATATAAAAAATTAATGCATAAGAATTATCAGGAAAATTCTGGAAAGGAGGAGCAATGAGGCAGAGGACGGAGAGTAGCTCTGTAAATTAATTAAAAATATTATAATACTTCAGTAATGAAAGTAGTATAGTAGTGGTTCATATTAGACAGACTGACCAAGGGAACAGAACAGAAAATCCAGAAATACATGCAGATACATTCAGGATTGTTCTTTATGATGATATGAGGAGAAATGAATTATTCAGTGAATGGTAATGGGACAGCTGGGAACCAGGCAGATGAAAATAAAATTGGATCCACACCTTACTCCTCACATCAGGATAAATTCCAAAGGGGTCACAGATTTAAATGTAAACGTGAAACTGTAAGTCCTTGAAGAATGAAGAAAACATTGGAGAATGTGTTTGTAGCCTTTGCTTTTCTGATAGTGATTTAAAATCCAAACGGCATTTAAAAATTTTAAAAGACTGCATTTGAAAATGTACTTGGCAAAAACACACTCACATTATAAGCAAAGAGTAGACACATCAACTGGGATTTTTTTTTCAAATCATATTACAAATGTGTATTCTCCTAACATATAAAGAGATCTAAAAAATGATAAGAAAAAGACCAATAACCCAATAGAAAAGTGAGCAAAAGATATAAACAGACAGTTCTCAAAAAAGATATGCAAAAGGCCTGTAAACATGAAAATATGTTCAGCCTCACTCAGAAGAGAAACACAAATTTAAACTATACCATGATACTTTTTTTTCCCTTGGATGCCATTTTTCTTTTTCAAATATCAAATTGGAGAAATTAAAAACACACTCTGAATCCAGGCTGTGGGCAACAAGACACTCTAAGTCATTGCTGGTACTAGTGTAAATTGGCATAATCCCTAGAGGGGACAATTTGGCAACATCTCTCCAAATTACAGTGCATTTACACAGGCAATTTGCCTGTAGATGTACTTAGATATATGCAAAGTGAGGCTTGTACAAGGTATTCATCGGAGCAGCAATAGCAAAGAGTAACCAGGTTACAGTTCTGCGATTCAATGGAATCTATGCAGCTATGATCAGCTCTCTATGAAACAAGAAACAAGACCTCCAAGATATTGTTGAAATAAAATAGCAAGGTACAGAACAGTGTTATCTTTTATGTAAAAAGGGGACTAGAAGAAAATAGATTCTTATTGCTTGCGTATGCCCAAGGAGCGCCACAAAACGTATGAGAATCTACCTGTGGCTCTCCCTTTGGGGGAAGTGGGCTGACAGGGGACACACGTGGTAGGGAGCATTTTCACTGTATATTCTTTTTTGTTTATTTTATTTTTGAACGATGTAATTGTATTATATTTTCATAAAACAAATATAAAATATTTTAAGGAGGGAAGCAGATTGTAAAATAGTACATAAAATTATCTATTTTCGGCTGGGCGTGGTGGCTCACACCTGTAATCCCAGCACTTTAGGAGGCCGAGGCAGGTGGATCACAAGGTCAAGAGATCGAGACCATCCTGGCCAACATGGTGAAACCCCGTCTCTACTAAAAATACAAAAAAAAATTAGCTGGGCGTGGTGGCGCACACCTGTAGTTCCAGCTACTTGAGAGGCTGAGGCAGGAGAATTGCTTGAACCCGGGAGGCAGAGGTTGCAGTGAGCCAAGATCGCACCACTGCACTCCAGCCTGGTGACACAGTGAGACTGCATGTCAAAAAAAAAAAAAAGTTATCTATTTTCTCATATATGCATTTTTAAAAGCTATTTACAGTGGTTATCTTCAAAAGTCTTTTATTTTTGCTTACACATTTTTGCATACTTTATTACAGATGTGAGCCACTGTGCCCAACCCGTTTTAACATTTAATAGTGAAAAAATGATATATTTCTGTTTCCTCCACACTATTCTTTAACTATTACAAACTGTAGTTTAATGGAATCCTGATTTTTACCCTCTAGTTTGGATTCAGTGTTTCTAACTTGAAGTTTTTTTGTTTTTTTTGTTTTGTTTTGTTTTTTTGACCAGACCCCCAGGACTTGTTTCCTTCTGTGAGATTCAGGCCAAATTGGTTTCAAAAGTTGTTTTGCTTCAAGGAATAGTTTTTCCTTATCTACTGCTGCAGTGATTCCACAAACAGAAACTTCTAATTCCTTCTGTCAACTCCTCCAAATTTCGTGACTTTATGGGGGGCAGGGAAGGGACTAAAAATCTCAGAAGAAAGAGCTTTATACCCTTTGCCTCTAGACAGAGCAAAACCAAGACCTTCCAGAGAGGGAGCGCCACCTGCAGCTGAGGCTATTTATAGTACAGGAGTTGGATTTAAATATAATTCTGTCCTCTGGTAACTCCAGCCAGCTGCTACTTTAAGATTTGGCGCCGCCCTTTATGTAAGAGGGCATGTTTTGTTTCAGTACCTTTCAGATGGAATCGAAATTTAGCAGTAAGCAACAAACAAGCTCTGGTGTGGGCCACTGGAAGTGAGAAGCAGTGTGGTGGCAGGAGGCTGGCTGTGCAACCTTGGCGTGAGGACTAGAATGGATTTAAAATAGTCCACTCCTTGAGTATAAAATGGTACAGGCTCTGCAGAAAACAGTGTGTCAGTTCCTGAAACAATCAAGCATAGAATTATATGATCCAGGCCAGGCACGGTGGCTCACACCTGTAATCTCAGCACTTTGGGAGGCCAAGGTGGGTGGATTGCTTGAGGTCAGGAGTTCGAGACCAGCCTGGCCAACATGGTGAAACCCCGTCTCTACCAAAAATACAAAAATTAGCCTGGTGTGGTGGCGCCTGCCTGTAGTCCCAGCTACTCGGGAGGCTGAGGCAGGAGAATCACTTGGACCTGGAAGACGGAGGCTGCAGTGAGCAGAGGTCAAGCCACTGCCTTCCAGCCTGGGTGACAGAGTGAAACCCTGCCACAAAAAATAAAATTAAATAAAATTAAATATTTATTTGAAAAAAGAATTATATGATCCAGCAATCCCACTTCTAGGTGTATACCCAAAACAACTGAAGGAAGGGACTCAGAGACCAAGAGGTGGAAGCAAGCCAAGTGTCCACAGAAGAATGAATGGGTAAATAAAATGTGGTATATACTGTACATACAATGGAATATTATTTAACCTTAAAAAGGAGTGAGGTGGGGCTTGGTGGCTCACACCTGTAATCCCAGCACTTTCGGAGGCCAAGGCAAGAGGATCACCTGAGGTCAGGGGTTTGAGACCGGCCTGGCCAACATGGTGAAACCCCGTTTCTACTAAAAATACAAAAATTAGCCAGGCATGGTGATGCACGTCTGTAGTCCCAGCTACTCGGGAGGCTGCGGCACGCAAATTGCTTTGAACCCAGGAGGCTGAGGTTGCAGTGAACCGAGATTGCCCCACTGCACTCCAGCCTGGGGTGACAGAGTGAAACTCTGTCTCAAAAAAAAAAAAAAAAAAAAAAAAAAGGAATGAACCTCTGATACGTTACAGCATAGGATAAACCTTGAAAACATCATGCTAAGTGAAATAAACAGACACAAAAGGACAAATACTCTATGATTCTACTTATGTGAGGTAGCTAAAGTAGTCAAATTCATAGAGACAGAAAGAATGATGGGCCGGGGGCAATGGCTCACACCTGTAATCCCAGCACATTGGGAGGCTGAGGTGGGAGGATTACTTGAGCCCAGGAGTTGGAGACCAGCCTAGGCAACATAGTGAGACCCTCATCTCTGCCAAATTTCAAAAAATTAGCCAGGCATAGTGGCACATGCCTGTGATCCCAGCTGCTTGGGAGGCTGAGGTGGGAGGATTGTGTGAGCCCAGGAGGTTGAGGCTATAGTGAGCTGAGATCGTGCCATTGTACTCCAGCCTGGGCAACAGTGCAAGACCCGGTCTCTAAAAAATAAAAAGGAAAAAAAAATAAGAACAGTGGTTTCTGGGGGCTGGAGGGAGGGGAAATGGGGAGCTAGTATTTAATGGGCACAGAGTTTCAATTGGGTAAGATGGAAAAGTTCTGGAGATGGACAGTGGTGATGGTTGCACAACAATATGAATTTACTTAACACCACTGAATTGTACACTTTAAAAATGTTAAAGTGGGGAGACTGGGCGCGGTGGCTCACCCCTGTAATCCCAGCACTTTGGGAGGCTGAGGCAGGCGGATCACGAGGTCAAGAGATCGAGACCATTCTGGCCAACAAGGTGAAACCCCGTCTCCACTAAAAATACAAAAATTAGCTGGGCGTGGTGGCGGGTGCCTGTAATCCCAGCTACTCGGGAGGCTGAGGCAGGAGAATCGCTTGAACCCGGGGGGCGGAGGTTGCAGTGAGCCAAGATCACACCACTGCACTCCATCCTGGGCAGCTGAGTGAGACTCTGTCTCAAAAAAAAAAAAAAAAAAAAAGTTAAAATGGTAAATTTTATGTTAGGTATATTTTATGACAAAAAGATTTTAAAAATCCCCCCTTCATCTTCATCTATATTACCCATCTGTCCATGGACCCTAGAGGAAAATTGGGAGATTGTCAATTTAACCAAATTGGTCTCTGGACCTCATTCTCATCATGTGTGAAATGAAAGAGTTGGCTGGAGTTTCCACAATTTCATGTAGAGATGTTGAGTCAGAAGACAGGAGATGTGGGGAGGTAACTCTTATGGAAGGTAAGAAGCACAGCACTGTAGAAACGAATATTGATGTCTACTGGATTTTGGAAGTCTGCTACAGGTCAGACATCTAAATTTTTGTTGACAAATTTTTTTTAATTTAAATTAGAAAACATTTCAAGCATACAGAAAATCCCTACATATAGCGATTGTTTACCACCAAAAACTAACAGATGTTAATATTTTGCCATATATATATATGATCCGCCAGCCTCTGCCTCCCAAAGTGCTGGGATTACAGGCATGAGCCACCATGCCCAGCCTATGTGTCTTGCTTAATAAATCCATTCCTACCCTGAATTGATAAAGATGTCTTTTCAATCTATGTCTTTTTTTCTCTTAAAAATTTCTGCTCTTTTTAAATTTTTCTATTTTCTTATTTTTTTTCTTTGTTCTTCAGAGCAGATCTACTTTCTTTGAATTCTATAATCTAAAATTTTTAATTAACTTTATTTGGAAATAATTTCAAACTTAAAAAATGTTGCAAAAATAAAAAATATGCAAAGAACACTCACAGGCTGTTTACCCAGATTCACCTATTGTTAGCATTTTACCCTATTTGTTTATCATTTGAAATAGATAATATATAAAACATACCATATATCATATCTAATATATATTTTTTCTGGACTGCTTGAGGGTCAGTTATATACATGATGCTTTACCATTAAATACTTCAGTGTGTATTTCCTATGAACAGGGATAGTCTAACATAACTACACTACCATTATTAACTTTATAACTTTATACTCTTTTGAATCTCCTGTGATATTCCAATTTTGTCAATTGCCAATTTTTTTGTTAATGTTGATGTTCTTTATAGCATTTTTATAACCCCATGCCGCCCTATAACCATTTTTCTTTTCTTTTTTTGTTTTTTGAGATGGAGTCTCACTTTGTTGCTTAGGCTGGAGTGCAGTGGCGCGATATTGGCTCACTGCAAACTCTGCTTCCCAGGTTCAGGTGATTCTCTTGCCTCAGCCTCCTGAGCAGCTGGGATTACAGGTGCACTCCACCACCCGCGGCTAATTTTTGTATTTTTAGTAGAGACGGGACTTCACCATGTTGGCCAGGCTGGTCTCAAACTCCTGACCTCAAGTGATCCGCCTGCCTCGGCCTCCCAAAGTGCTGGGATTATAGGCGTGAGCCACGGTGCCCGGCCTCAAGCCCTATAACCTTATAGCACTTTAAAAAAATCCAATGATACAGAATCCAAACTAAGGGCAGGTGTTGCATATAATTGTCATGTCTTTTTAGGTTTCTTTAATCTGAAACAGTTCCTCAACCTCTATTTGCCTTCTATGACATTGACATTTTTGAAGAATGCAGTCCTCCCCACCTTTTTAAATAGAACGTTTCTCATTTAGTGTTTATCTTATGTTTCCTTGTGATTAGATTTGAAATAATGCTGGAACATTGCCGAGACGTATTGTGCAGCACTGCATAGGTGTAGTATTATGTCCTTCTCAGGGTATCACATCTGGAGGCAAAGAATGTCTCTCTGCCCCTCATGGTTAATTTTGATCACTTGCTTAAAGTATTGCCCCATTTCTCCACTGTACAATGACTGCTTTTTATTTTATTCCCCACTCCCTTCCAACTCATGGCAATCTGGAGGGAGATACTTTCAGACCCTGCAAAAGTTCTGCTCCTCATCCAACATTTCCCCCAGCTTTAGAATCCACTGATGATTCTTACCTGATCCAATCTTTGCCACCAAGTCTGAAAATGATTCATTTAAAAGTTTTTAAGTTTTATTTTTCACATATAGGTCTTTGACCTGGAATAGATTTTGTGTATGGTGTGAGATAGGGATTGAATTCTATTTTCCCCCCAGATGGCTAATCAGCTCCATTTGTTGAAGTTTATTCTTTCCCAGTTGGTAAGAAATGTCCACGTCTTCACACATTTGCTGTGTTTGTTTCAGTACTGTATATTCTATTTCATTGGTCCATTTGTTTATCCTTGTGCCAAAACTATGAAGTCTTTATTGCCATAGCTTTATAATATATATTTATATAAATATATAATTGCTGTCACTACATAATGTGGATTTATATAAATATATAATATATAATTGCTATAGCTTTATAGTATATATTTATATAATTGCTGTTTTATATATCATATAATTATATAAATATATAATTGCTATGTTTTATATATTATATATTTATGTAGATATATAATTGCTATGTTTTATATATTATATATTTACATAAATACATAATTGCTATTGCTTTATAATAAATTTGTATATCTTATAGGGCATCTTCCATTATACTCTTCTCTAAAATTGTTAGCTATTCTTGCCATCCGGGCAATTATATTCATTTTCACAACAACCCTCAGATTAAGCAATTGCCCAAGGTCCAAAAATCAGCAAGAGGGACTTGGAACCCAGGTCTGTCGGAGGCCAAAGCTCTTTTCATTACTTCCTGAGGGTGGTTTTCTAGGCATGGAGAAGCAGAGGTCAGGGAATCAAGTGTGGCGAGAGAGAGAAGAGAAGTGAAAGAAGAAAGGCAGGTGTCAGCTTGGTGTGGGTTTGGTCTCTGGGATATAGACTTTGCCAGCCAAAGGATGGAGCTTGAACTTAGCTGGCAGAACTGGAAACAGAAGATTGTAAGGAAAGGGACTGGGATCAGTGTTTCTTCTCCAGGACGGATTACCCACAGCTGTCCACGGGCAGGCACTTGTTACTTTCTGGCTGAGCAGGGCAGTGTGGCCGACGGCTGAAAGGGGAAGCTGCGGCTGCTTTTGTGCAGGGGTGGTGGTGATGAGGGTGATGTGGGGGGCTGGAAGGCATGGAGGGGAAAGGATCTGGCTGACTACCTGGAAGCCAGGACAGATCCCACCCCAGAAAGGCGCAGTAGGGGCTCTCATCCTCCACTAGCCCGCCCCTCCCTACCTAATTAAGGACCCTAATCAGCTTGGGGAGATTAAGGGCTCTGGCCGGCTGTACCCACGCCCCCGCCCTGGCCTGGGCTGGCAAGGAAGACCTGTGGGCGGGCGTCAAAAGGGGGACCGGCCCTGTGACCCCTCACCGGGGGCCGTGGGCCCGAGCCCCCGGACTTCCCTGTAAATGTCAGAGGCCCCTCCGCTGGGATAGGGTCGGTCTGAGGGCGCAGGCGAGTCCCTGCTGACCCCTGACGCCTCCGACGGGGGGAGGGGCAGGCCGGGTGGGAGCGGGAAGCCGGGGCGGCAGAAGGGGGCTTCGGGGCGGTGTCCTTGGCCCCAGTTAGTCTTCCCAGCCTCCGGAGGGGGCGGTAGCAGCAGAATCATCCCATGGGTTACTCGGGCTTGGAGAAACTCGGGGTTACGGGGAGAACCCTAGGGGAGGCCGGGGTCTCAGTCGCTCAGCCTGCTCCGTCTGTGTTCGCAGAAGCCGGCAATGACCGCCTGCGCCCGCCGAGCGGGTGGGCTTCCGGACCCCGGGCTCTGCGGTCCCGCGTGGTGGGCTCCGTCCCTGCCCCGCCTCCCCCGGGCCCTGCCCCGGCTCCCGCTCCTGCTGCTCCTGCTTCTGCTGCAGCCCCCCGCCCTCTCCGCCGTGTTCACGGTGGGGGTCCTGGGCCCCTGGGCTTGCGACCCCATCTTCTCTCGGGCTCGCCCGGACCTGGCCGCCCGCCTGGCCGCCGCCCGCCTGAACCGCGACCCCGGCCTGGCAGGCGGTCCCCGCTTCGAGGTAGCGCTGCTGCCCGAGCCTTGCCGGACGCCGGGCTCGCTGGGGGCCGTGTCCTCCGCGCTGGCCCGCGTGTCGGGCCTCGTGGGTCCGGTGAACCCTGCGGCCTGCCGGCCAGCCGAGCTGCTCGCCGAAGAAGCCGGGATCGCGCTGGTGCCCTGGGGCTGCCCCTGGACGCAGGCGGAGGGCACCACGGCCCCTGCCGTGACCCCCGCCGCGGATGCCCTCTACGCCCTGCTTCGCGCATTCGGCTGGGCGCGCGTGGCCCTGGTCACCGCCCCCCAGGACCTGTGGGTGGAGGCGGGACGCTCACTGTCCACGGCACTCAGGGCCCGGGGCCTGCCTGTCGCCTCCGTGACTTCCATGGAGCCCTTGGACCTGTCTGGAGCCCGGGAGGCCCTGAGGAAGGTTCGGGACGGGCCCAGGGTCACAGGTAGGCTCCCTTGCAGGGTGCGAGGAGGTCGGCTGGTCCTGCCGGCAGCCGGACGGCGCCGCGAGCCAAGCCTCTGTCCGCAGCAGTGATCATGGTGATGCACTCGGTGCTGCTGGGTGGCGAGGAGCAGCGCTACCTCCTGGAGGCCGCAGAGGAGCTGGGCCTGACCGATGGCTCCCTGGTCTTCCTGCCCTTCGACACGATCCACTACGCCTTGTCCCCAGGCCCGGAGGCCTTGGCCGCACTCGCCAACAGCTCCCAGCTTCGCAGGGCCCACGATGCCGTGCTCACCCTCACGCGCCACTGTCCCTCTGAAGGCAGCGTGCTGGACAGCCTGCGCAGGGCTCAAGAGCGCCGCGAGCTGCCCTCTGACCTCAATCTGCAGCAGGTAGACGGTCCCGGGAGGAGGGAAGAAGGCAAGGGAGAGGGGAGAGGACAGCCAAAGCAGGGAGAGGAGGATGCAGCCAATGGAGAAAGAACCACTGGCAGCTCTAGCTGTTTGGAGTTTCCTGGGTAATGTAGAGGCTCTGGCCCCACTTGGGGTCTCTTAGTGTACGAGGATTGCCTCTAGAGAGTAGGCAATTCGACCTCTCAAGTCCAACATCAAGCAGTAAACTCTAATGAACTGTAAACTGCAAAACCTTTTGCAATTGGCTTCAAAGTAAACCCGTTTCCACCACCACATACTCCCAGCTGTCTAAAATAAATACTTGGTGTTCTTGAAAGCAGGAAGGAGGGAGGATGCCAATCCAACCTTCATCCCTAGTTCAGAGGTATTTCCTCTGGGGCCTCATCTGGTGGTCTTAGCTTTTCAAGGGCCTAGACACCTTGCAAGAAGCAGAAAGTTCCCTGGGTGGATTCAGGGGCAATCCTAACCAGATCCATAGTGTATTTCCAACATCCAGCTAATACCTAGGGATCCCCAAGTCCCCAGAATCCCAGTTCAGATCATCTAACTTTACTCCCGCCACAAAGGGGGACTAGAAACCACTATGAGAAGGGAATTTAGATGTCAACGGGCAGTGAATTAACCACCACAAAGGTCCAACTCACAGGCGGCTGCATGAGAGAAGGGTCGTAGGGGTTGCAATTTCCCATCGATGCCCCTAGATTCTTCCAAGAGGATTGGAGGTGTCCAATGGAGGGGGGAGGGGTGCAGTGATGGGAATAGTCAGAAGAGAATACAAGATAGGAATCATAATGAGATGGGATGGAGGGAGGGTCGGTCAGTGGAGAGAGGGAGGTTGAGAAAGTAGAGAGAGAAAAGCCCTTCAGCTCTCAGTAAGTACCACAGCAGTCCTCTCCACTGCCCAAACTGCGCAAGCCTCTGAGCGTGTGAGTCACCCTTGATTCCTTGAATTCTTCGCCCCCACTTCCAGGCATCAAGCCCTGTTACTGTTACTTCCTAAAGATCATTCGAATTCATCCGCTTTCTCCATCTTTACTGTCACTGCCCTGATTCAGGCCACAGCACCCCCAGCCCAAATCCCAAAACATAATCTCTCAGATGGTCTCTGCTTCAACACTCACCTGCCCAACACCTTTCTCCAGATCAAGCTTCAGAAATCTGACAGATCTCACCCTGTCATGCCCCTGTTCAAAGCCTCACAGTGGCTTCTGTTGCCCTGGATAGATGCAGGCCTCTCCACATGGCTTACCAGGTCACCTGTCTTTCTCTCTCTTCCACCTCCCATGAACTTCAGCCAGACCAAGCTACTCTGGGTTCTTGGAATGTGTCCTTCTCTTTTGCCTCTGAGCTTCTGAGTGTGCTGTTTCCTCTCTCTTGTCCCTGCCTCCCCTGGATAATTCTGACTCATCCCCTGAAGGATGGTCACTTCTAACAGCTCCTTCTCTGTCCACAGCCTAGGGTGGGGACACCCATTCCTGTCTCTGCAGCTCCCTCAGTTTCCCCTACTTTTACTCATTGCACTGCCTGAACACCCCTGTCTCTTTGGCAAGAAGAAAGGTTCCTTGAGACGGGGTCTGTCTTGTACACTGATACATCTTTAGTGCTCTGCACAGTGCCTGGCTCTCTGAGAGATGGCAACTGGGAATAATAGAGAAGCCTGATAAGATCGGGTGGTAACAATAGAGAAGGTTTTTTGTTTGTTTTTTGTTTAGTTTTTTTGTTTGTTTGTTTGTTTTTTTAAGGAACAACAGAAAATAGAAGCCAACCAAAAGATAGGTGAGAAGGCTTTTAGGTGAATGGTAGGTGATGAGGTTAAAACTATATGCTGGGCAACCAACAGGAAGAAGAGAGGACCTACAGGTGATGGAGAATTAGAATCAACCAATGGTCAGAGAGGAGGCTGAGTCCTGAAAAGAGGAACCAGTTAGTGGGGAGAGCAGGTGTGACAGCCAATAGGAGAGGGAGGAAGAGAGAGCCAGTGGGGAGGGAGGAAGAGAGAGCCAATGGGGAGGGAGGAAGAGAGCCAATGGGGAGGGAGGAAGAGATAGCCAATGGGGAGGGATCCTGGGAACAACTAACTGGAAGGTGGCAACAGTGGATACCCTGGGCTTGACAGGCAGTGAAAGAATCTGGTCTGTCTGTGGGCTGTGACCCCGACCTCTGAGCCCCTACTCTCCTTCTCCAGGTCTCCCCACTCTTTGGCACCATCTATGACGCGGTCTTCTTGCTGGCAAGGGGCGTGGCAGAAGCGCGGGCTGCCGCAGGTGGCAGATGGGTGTCCGGAGCAGCTGTGGCCCGCCACATCCGGGATGCGCAGGTCCCTGGCTTCTGCGGGGACCTAGGAGGAGACGAGGAGCCCCCATTCGTGCTGCTAGACACGGACGCGGCGGGAGACCGGCTTTTTGCCACATACATGCTGGATCCTGCCCGGGGCTCCTTCCTCTCCGCCGGTACCCGGATGCACTTCCCGCGTGGGGGATCAGCACCCGGACCTGACCCCTCGTGCTGGTTCGATCCAAACAACATCTGCGGTGGAGGTGAGGGCGAGCACCCCAGTCCCCACTGAGACAATCGCCATGGACCATCCACAAAGTGATGAAAGAGAGTGGACTCCTATCCTGTAATCCGTCTTCGATGCCCTTCTAGGCCCTCTCCCAGCCTCTGGCTTGCACAGGACCCCTCTCTTGCTGAGCTCCAAAGCCCTCTTGGAAATTTTCTATCATTCCCAGCCTCTCCCCTTTGAGGAACTATGACCTACCCCTAGAGCCTCTCTGGGCCCCCATCCCCCTTTCCTGGAGGGGCCAGCATGTGGCATGCCTCCCTAGAGAAGAGGCCTCCCCTGGCATCGCTCCTCAGTATACCTCCTGTCACTGTCCCTTCAGGACTGGAGCCGGGCCTCGTCTTTCTTGGCTTCCTCCTGGTGGTTGGGATGGGGCTGGCTGGGGCCTTCCTGGCCCATTATGTGAGGTGAGTAGTGGAATGAGGTAAGTAGGAAGTGAGCTTGTGCCAGAAATGGAAGTCTGCAGCAAAAACAGCAGGCTGGGTTCACTCAGGAGTAGAGGAGGAGATTTTTCTTGGGGTGAGGGTGTTCTGGTGGGCTGGTAGAGTCCCAGGGGATGTGTGCTTTGGGGATGGCTGCCCTCCAGGACCCCTCCCCTGAGCCAACGTTATCCCTCCCCCGCATCCCCTGCTGGTCTCTTCTGACGGAACTTGGTGCCCTTGGTGGAGGTGACCTCTTTCTCCACCAGGCACCGGCTACTTCACATGCAAATGGTCTCCGGCCCCAACAAGATCATCCTGACCGTGGACGACATCACCTTTCTCCACCCACATGGGGGCACCTCTCGAAAGGTGGGGGAGGCAGAGAGGCAGGAGCCAGTTGTCTTCTTTCCGTAAATTTGGTTCCTTCCCTGGGCCAGTCCCGACCCCAGCTCCCTACTTGGGAAGCCTGATTTCTACCCCAGTTCTGTCCCACGTCTGAAGTCTAGGGATCAGCACCCTCATCTGTGCAATGAGGGTAACAGTACCTGTCCTGACTACTTTCCTGGCGGGGAGGTGAAGCTCCAACAAGAAAATGAATGTTTGCTTTGTAAACTGTAAAGCGTGCACTTGGGGAGTAATGTCATTATCACCTTCCCTCATTGAGATTCCTTCGCCTCCCATCTTTAAATCCCCAAAACTCAGCCTGACCTCAACCCAGGACTCTGACACCAGAATATATTTTGACCTCTTGCATTGACCTCTACCTGCTAGGTGGCCCAGGGGAGTCGATCAAGTCTGGGTGCCCGCAGCATGTCAGACATTCGCAGCGGCCCCAGCCAACACTTGGACAGCCCCAACATTGGTGTCTATGAGGTGAGCCTGACCCCAGCCAGACAGAGAGACAGTGGGGGAAGAATGCTCAGGCCCTGGGCAGAGGGGAGGCGCACTCTCAGGAGGACATGTAGTCATGTCAAATCCTGCAGGCTCCAGGAGATGGGGGATGGGAGCCCAGACAGGATCTAGGGAAAGGTCATGGATCCCTCAAAGGGAAGCACCTAGGAATCTTCCCTCCCCAAGGATTTTTCTCTAGCCACTATCTGGGTAAGGGCTCCTCAAAAGCTAACCACAGTGACCCAGAGACTGGAGGCTGGAGCTGCCAGGGAGCATGCTGGGACCAGCAGGTAACATGGTGTGGCCACTGAGACCATCTCCGGCCTGGTCAGAGCCTCTGGCCCTGCCCCTCAGCATTTCCACCCAATTCAGACCAGACTCAGGAATAGCAACCCCTAGAGGGGGAAAAGAAAGTCACAAAAAAGTATTAGGACATTAACTTTGGGGCTGGTAAATCTGAATGCGGTCAAGTGGAGGGGAGATGATGAGAACAGATTGAGAGAGAGCTGAGAGTGCTGAGCAAATCAAGAGAGTAGAAATTTAGAGCTCCTGGGCTTCAGGTCATGGGAAGGAATGCAGAGGCTCCTATCATGTCACCTAGAGATCATCATGGCCAATTCTCAGAGGAGGCACTATTGTCATTTGGGGCAGATTGTCCTAAATTGTATGGGACTACTCTGTGCCTTGAAGAATATTTAGTGTTTCTTGTCTCTGGCCCTGTCCACTAATGCAGCTCCTAGTTTTTGTGACAGTTAAAACTTTCCCCACATTTATTTCCAAATGCTCCTTAGGGGTCAGTACTAAACCCCAATTCCCTTCTAAATTCCCTTCTAGTCCAAATCCCTTATAAACAAGACAGGGCCACCTGCATAATTAGCGAGATCCAGGGCAAGATAGAAATGAGGGGCTCCTCGTTCATTCATGATGATGGCAGGAGGTCATTGAACCAAGCTTGGGCCCTTCGGAGCACGAGGCCCTGTGTGACTGCACAGGTCCCATGCCTGTGAACCGGCCCTGCCAACAGTTGAGGATGAGGTCCAGCATCAGGAGGGGAGCTGTCTATAGTTCAGTTAGTTTTCAATAAAGCCTGATCTACCCAGATTTTTTACTCCCAGAACATGTTCTCTCATGGCAGTGGATGGTAATGAGGGTTGTGATGTCGATGACACTTGTGGTTGTATTAATGCACTTAATAGGACTATTGGTGGGCACAGCTGGGTTGGTGAGGACAGCCATCCATGGCTTCAGAATCTCTGTCATCCAGGGGTGGGCCCTCTCCCAGATGGCTGTGAAGTGGATGGGCATACATCAAACCCCTTGGTTCAATGCATTTTGTCACATGGAAGATGCATTCTGGGACAGTGAGCCAATGGAAATGAGGGGGAGGGGTTCTAGGGCTCCCCATCGTGGGATTTTAAGAGACTGAGTTCCCTACCCCCATCCTCTTTGCTGCAGGGAGACAGGGTTTGGCTGAAGAAATTCCCAGGGGATCAGCACATAGCTATCCGCCCAGCAACCAAGACGGCCTTCTCCAAGGTGAGACTTGGGCCTGTGATGGGGCCTAGGTGGCCATCGGTTTCTCCCTCCTTGCCTTCTCTTTGCAGCTGGGTACAGAGGTAGGTCTCAGTTAAGTGTCCCCTCTGGCTGAGTGTGGTGGCTCATACGTGTAATCCTGGCACTTTGAGAGGCAGATGTGAGGGAGGATCACCTGAGGCCAGGAGTTCAAGACCAGCCTGGGCAACATAAAGAAACCCTATCTCTCCAAAAATTTTAAAATTAGCTGGGTGTGGCGTTACATGCCTGTAGTCCCAGCTACTCTTCAGAGGGTGAGGAGGGAGGATTATTTGAGCCTGGGAGTTGGAGGTTACCGTGGGCTGTGATCATACTACTGCACTCCAGCCTGGGTGACAGAGCAAGACCCTGTCAAAATTAAGAAAGAAAAAAAAAAACATGTTTCCTCCACCCTGGAGTAGGCTTTCATTATTCTCTGCCACACCACTAGTTCTTTCCTTTGATCTTGTTGCAATGTGCAATTGTATGTTCATCTGTCTGCCTGCTTGTTTCTGCCTCTCTCGCTGGACTGTAAGCTGAGTGAGGGCCTCCTCACTCCCCTCCATTGTAATCAAGCACCCAACACAGTGTCTGGAACATTAGAGAGACCCAGTGAATGTTTGTTGATCTAATGATAGAAAATAAAAAATGAGTTTCCGGTTCTGTCAGGCCACTTGTGCAGAATAGCCCTGGACATTCTGAATGAAGTGCAAAGTTGGCAAGGAGGCTGTAAATGGCTTATTCTGGTCCTTACAACCTTAATGTCTCCCTTTATCTCCATGCCATGCAGCCTGGGCCTGGCCTTCTTCCCTGATTCCTCTACAGGAGCTCTTGGTCACAGATGCAGTGACTTAAGTGGACTATGTGTATGGGGATTAATGAACTCGATCACCATTTAATACCAGGTGTTTAAAATGAAAAGTATCTGGGCGCGGTGGCTCACACCTGTGATCCCAGCACTTTGGGAGGCCGAGGCGGGCGGATCACGAGGTCAGGAGATCGAGACCATCCTGGCTAACACGGTGAAACCCCGTCTCTACTAAAAATACAAAAAAAATTAGCCGGGTGTGGTGGCGGGCGCCTGTAGTCCCAGCTACTGTGGGAGGCTGAGGCAGAAGAATGGCGTGAACCCGGGAGGCGGAGCTTGCAGTAAGCCGAGATCGCGGCACTGCACTTCAGCCTGGGCGACAGAGCAAGATTCCGTCTCAAAAAAAAAAAAAAAAAAGGAAAGGAAAGAAAAGTATCCCCTTATTGGGCATGTGGAGGGAAAAGCTAGAAAGGGCACCAGTCAGCCAGCTAAGCCACCTTTTTTTCTAGCATGCCCCGATTGTGAGGGCACTGTCCTGCAGAGCAGTCAGTCCTGTCTTCCCTAACTGAGGGAGGGTGGGAGTCTCAGACCCGACTGACACAATGACGTAACGCCAAGCAGAGCAGCCCCCGGCCAGGTTGCAGGCACACGCCATTTCTGGTGTCCTTTGAAAGTGGCACAGCTTCAGGCCGGGCACCGTGGCTCACGCCTGTAATCCCAGCACTTTGGGAGGCTGAGGTGGATGGACCACCTGAGGTCAGGAGTTCGAGACCAGACTGGCCAACATAGCAAAACCCCATCTCTACTAAAAATACAAAAATTAGCCAGGCATGATGGCACACACCTGTAATCCCAGCTATTCGGGAGGCTGAGACGGGAGAATCGCTTGAGCTCAGGATGCGGAGGTTGCAGTGACCCGAGATTGCACGACTGCAATCCAGCCTGGGTGACAGAGTAAGAATCTGTCTAAAAAAAAAATACATAAACAAAAGAAAAGAAAGAAAGTGGCACCGCTCCTCCCTGGCTCTCCCAGCAAAGGCTGTTAAATCAGGAGAGGATGGTGGTTCCAGGAGCTTCTCCTTCATGAGCTGCTTCCCTTAAGACCCAGGCAGTTCAGAGTTTTATGGCTGGGGCCAGGTGTGGTGGCTCAGGCCTATAATCCCAGCACTTTGGGAGGCTGAGGTGGGAGGATCATTTGAAGCCAGGAGTTCAAGACCAGCCTGGGCAACATAGCAAGGCTCCCATCTCTACAGAAAAAAAATTTTAAATGTTATCTAGGCATGGTGGCACAAGCCTGTAGTCCCAGCTATTCAGGAGGCTGAGGTAGGAGGATCACTTGAACCAAGGAATGAAAGGTAGCAGTGATTTATGATCATGCCGCTGCACTCCAGTCTGGGCAACAGAGTGAGACCTCGTGTCTAAAAAAAAAGGCTTATGATCAATAAATCCGAACCTGCCTGGGTCCTGATCACCAATGCAAAGTTGTCTTTTCATTCACAGCATTAGGCTAAACCATACTCAGTATCCAAACAGTGGCCTTTGACTATATTGTTTTTTCCAAAAATAGGACTATGTGTAGAAGAGAGCCCCCGTACATACCTTATCAACCATTTCATCCACCATTTGTAAAAATCTCATCTTCTGGGTCTGGATACTCAAAAACAGATCTTGATTAACAGCCCCTTCCCCACATTGCCCTGGGCAGAAAATGCAAGTCAACTCTCCCCCTCTCAGCTCCAGGAGCTCCGGCATGAGAACGTGGCCCTCTACCTGGGGCTTTTCCTGGCTCGGGGAGCAGAAGGCCCTGCGGCCCTCTGGGAGGGCAACCTGGCTGTGGTCTCAGAGCACTGCACGCGGGGCTCTCTTCAGGACCTCCTCGCTCAGAGAGAAATAAAGCTGGACTGGATGTTCAAGTCCTCCCTCCTGCTGGACCTTATCAAGGTGTGTGTCTGGGGGTGGTGGGGTGACGTCCTGGGGGCAGGGATGGGGAGCAAGGGAACCAAGCAGGCTGAGGCTGCCTCTTACCCTACCCATTCCAAGGGAATAAGGTATCTGCACCATCGAGGCGTGGCTCATGGGCGGCTGAAGTCACGGAACTGCATAGTGGATGGCAGATTCGTACTCAAGATCACTGACCACGGCCACGGGAGACTGCTGGAAGCACAGAAGGTGCTACCGGAGCCTCCCAGAGCGGAGGGTAAGAGTCCCCTGTGCAGACGAGGATCCACCGGGATCCCCATTATTTCAAGGGCTTCTCCCCCGCTTCCTCCCTACCTCTGCCCTCGCACTCTCTTCATCCCACATCCACCAGACACAATTCCTGCTACAGAAAAGATCTTGTGGCCTCTGAGAGGGTGGGCTCTGTGACTTCGGAGACGGGGCTGCTGGGGGCGGGACTTGTACCTGAGCTGCCTGCAGCAGGGTTTGCTCTGATTACAAGTTTGCCTGAGGGTGGGGCTTGTGCCCAAGAGACGGAGCCTTCCCTGGGCACCACCTTTTCTGAAGGGCAAGGCCTATTTGCCAGGCTTTCTCTGAGATGGCTCCTAGAGATAGTTGCAGGGCTGGTCTCAGGTTGCAGGGTCTCAGACCGGTCTCAGGCTGCAGGGTTGGTGGTGTCTGGGTGCCAACCTGGGCTTTCTGGTGAGGGTGGGAGTCTTTCCCCAGCGGCGCCTCAGCCCCTTCCCCATCCCCAGACCAGCTGTGGACAGCCCCGGAGCTGCTTAGGGACCCAGCCCTGGAGCGCCGGGGAACGCTGGCCGGCGACGTCTTTAGCTTGGCCATCATCATGCAAGAAGTAGTGTGCCGCAGTGCCCCTTATGCCATGCTGGAGCTCACTCCCGAGGGTAAGGCTGCCCTGTGCGTGGAGTTCGGCCCACAGGGGCACCCTGCAGTTAGAAAAGAGCCAGCCTCACTCTTTCCTCTAAAGCAAAGCCCAGTGATGAAACTCAATTATACGGAGGCCCCCTTAAAGCTGGCATCTGCAGGTCTGGGTGCAGAAAGCCGTGCATGGCCAGGGTGGGGAGCGTGGTTCATTAGGTCCCAGACCACAACAGCTTCCTCTTTCTTGATGCTGGAACCAAACTGTTTCCACAACTGACAGAACAGACTCCTCTCTGTTCTCAGGGGTCCCTGGGAGGAGCAGGGGAGGGGGAGTGGGTGCATCCCTTCTGCACAGGACTCTGAGCAAACTACTTGATCACCTATCCCTCACTTGTCTTACATACAATATGTTAGTTTCTTTGCCTATGTCACCTCTTACTGACCCCCAGAGTTCGAGGTCCTCTTGTTCCTCCTAGCAACCCCCTTCCACACTATACTCTCCCTCCACACACACACACTGAACCTCTGATGTAAAGAAACCCCTGCCAGGCACCCCCTCCCACATCTTGGTCTTCAACAGTCAGGCCAGGGTCAGAGGCAGCCTTTGTGTTCTGGGGGCACTCCCCCTCACTGTCCCCTCATGCCTCCAGAAGTGGTGCAGAGGGTGCGGAGCCCCCCTCCACTGTGTCGGCCCTTGGTGTCCATGGACCAGGCACCTGTCGAGTGTATCCTCCTGATGAAGCAGTGCTGGGCAGAGCAGCCGGAACTTCGGCCCTCCATGGACCACACCTTCGACCTGGTCAGGGGCTGGGAGTGGGCAAGGACTGGGCTGGCCTCTGGGATCCCAGATGCTTGTCAGCAACCTGAGACAGCTGCAGACAGGCAGGCTGGCAGGACCTCTGGCCTTCCAGGCTACCTCCTAAGGAGTAGCCTGAAGACTCGGAGTTTGGGGGCAGAATTGGAATGGGGGCTGTGGAGGCTTTTGGAGTGGGAGATAGAGTTCTGTCTGGGTGGGAGGAATATTCAATTCAATTCAAATAACACTGATTGAGAACCAAGTATGTGCTTGGCCTGCTGTGACAGAAAGACCCTTGGCCTGGGAGCCCAACGATTGGGCTGGCTCCAGTGCCCTGTCAATTACTAGCTGAGATCAACTGACCTCTGGGAACCCTCATTTCCCACGTGCCTCCTAATCGTGTCTGAAAACACAGTGCCCAGCACCCCGGGGTGCTTGATGAATAGTAGATGAATGGTGGCAGCGGGGTTGGGGTTCAGAGTGAACAGCCCCATGAGAGGGCCCATGAGGGGGGCATAAAGAGGGCATGGCAACCCAGGTCTTCAGCAGCTTTACCAGCTTCCTTCTACTGCTAGTTCAAGAACATCAACAAGGGCCGGAAGACGAACATCATTGACTCGATGCTTCGGATGCTGGAGCAGTACTCTAGTAACCTGGAGGATCTGATCCGGGAGCGCACGGAGGAGCTGGAGCTGGAAAAGCAGAAGACAGACCGGCTGCTTACACAGATGCTGCCTCCGTGGGTGCCAGTGGGAAGGGGTGGGCTGGGAGGGCAGCTGGAGCCCAGCCAGGTAGAGTGGCCCCCAGGTGACCTCACTGCCTGCCATCCCTAGGTCTGTGGCTGAGGCCTTGAAGACGGGGACACCAGTGGAGCCCGAGTACTTTGAGCAAGTGACACTGTACTTTAGTGACATTGTGGGCTTCACCACCATCTCTGCCATGAGTGAGCCCATTGAGGTTGTGGACCTGCTCAACGATCTCTACACACTCTTTGATGCCATCATTGGTTCCCACGATGTCTACAAGGTGCAGTGTGTAGGGGACAAGCCCTCCTGACCTTCAATTCAGCTTCACCAGCCTCCAGCCCAGCCCTTCCTGCGCAGCCCCTAGCCTACCTGCCCAATCAATCTTCTTTCCCAGACCTCCTGTCCCTTATTTATTCCTCCAGTCCCCAGCTCAGTCCTTCCACTAGCAACCTGGTTCTGCACTAACCCCAGGTGGGCCCGGTGACAAGAGGCAATCGCTTCGTGTACTCGGGGGGAATGCTCAAAAGAAAATTCACACAACTCCTTCTTCCCCCAGGTGGAGACAATAGGGGACGCCTATATGGTGGCCTCGGGGCTGCCCCAGCGGAATGGGCAGCGACACGCGGCAGAGATCGCCAACATGTCACTGGACATCCTCAGTGCCGTGGGCACTTTCCGCATGCGCCATATGCCTGAGGTTCCCGTGCGCATCCGCATAGGCCTGCACTCGGGTAACTCCCGGGTCTTCCCAGGCTCCAGCCCATCTCCCTCTTTAGGGCCTGGCCCCAGATTTCCTGTAGAGGAGGCAACTCATGGAGCGGGGAGTGGGGCTTACCTTGAAGAGGATGCACTTAACAAGGCTTATTTGGGGGGCTGGTGGAGATAATGGGTGCGAAGATCCCCCGAGGCCCTACCTAGGTGCAGCCCAGGGCCGGCCCTGCTAGCCCCGCCGACCCCCAGCATCTCCACAGGTCCATGCGTGGCAGGCGTGGTGGGCCTCACCATGCCGCGGTACTGCCTGTTTGGGGACACGGTCAACACCGCCTCGCGCATGGAGTCCACCGGGCTGCGTGAGTGTGACGGGGACAAGACGGGGAGGTGGGAGGGGGACACGGGAGGTGAGTCCCGAGCTCACGGCGTCCCCCACCGCCACAGCTTACCGCATCCACGTGAACTTGAGCACTGTGGGGATTCTCCGTGCTCTGGACTCGGGCTACCAGGTGGAGCTGCGAGGCCGCACGGAGCTGAAGGTGAGGCAGGGCCCCAACCCCTCCCGGAGGCCCCGCCCTGTCCTGAGGCACCGCCCATCCCGGGCCGCGGCTGCAAACCTCAGCTCACCCTTCTGACCTGGTCTCCCAGTTCCACGCAGACTCGAGATCCCCCACCCCTCACCCCAGTCCGCCTAAGTCCTTCCCTCTCCCATGTCTCCCCAGGGCAAGGGCGCCGAGGACACTTTCTGGCTAGTGGGCAGACGCGGCTTCAACAAGCCCATCCCCAAACCGCCTGACCTGCAACCGGGGTGAGGGGCCGGCCTCCGCGGCAGGGCGAGGGACGAGGGACCCCTGCCTCCTGCTCTGTGTCTGACCCCCCGCGCGCGAGGCAGCGATGACGTGGGCCCTGCCCTCCCACGCCCCATTCCCCTTCCCTGAGGCCACCGCCCCCTCCTTGCAGGTCCAGCAACCACGGCATCAGCCTGCAGGAGATCCCACCCGAGCGGCGACGGAAGCTGGAGAAGGCGCGGCCGGGCCAGTTCTCTTGAGAAGTGAGGCCCGGCCCCGGACAGGTACTGCCCCCTCAGCCCCAACCCCAGCTGCCGCGTCCCCTCTGCTGCCTGCAGAACGTCCCACCCAAGCCAGGTGTCCCGATCCCTTTCTGACTTAGAGAGCCCAGGCTGGTTCCTAAACCCCGGGGCTTCCCCTGGGAGGGAAGCAGCCATTGCAGGAATTTTGGTTCAGTAGATCTGGAGTGGTTTGGAAATCCAGGCTTAGGAAACTCCGTAATCGGGGCCTTCTGTGGCCCCTCCCCTGGCCCTATCTCATCCCCAGTGCATAAACCTGGCTTCCGCAGAAGCCTCACAGGCTGTGCACTGCACAAGAGACAACTCTAGGGGGCAGCAGTCACCAGAGAACAATGTGAAAGCAGAAGCCGTGCCCACTCCCCTCCTGCAAGAAACTGACCCGTGACCCGCTCCTTCCTAGGTGAACCCCCATGACCCCTTTCCTCGACTCCCCTCTGAGATACCCCTCTTTTCTTCAGGATTGTTCTGGAAGGTCCTTTTCCTGAAAGTTGCTGCTATAGGTGACTGGAAGTCTGTCTAATGCTGGTGGACTCTGCCCAGCTCTGCCTCAAAGGATTTTGGGCCTTTTACAAGAGCTGGTTGCAAAACCAGCCATGTGACCTTGGGAAAGTGTCACGCATGCTCTGCTGTGATCCCTTCAGTGGCAAAATGGGGGGTGGCCTAAGTGGTTCCCAAGGCCCCTGTGCACCTGACAGCTGGGTGGCTTGTGGCCCTCACCCCCAGGAGCCCTGAGTCCAGCAGGGGATGTGAGGGTCAGGGATTCTCCGCTTCCCAGTGTCTCTCAGGGACCCAGGAAGGAGGATCTGGGATTGATGCCCGACCCCAGAGGAAGTGGAGTTCTGTTCCACCAGAGCAGGGTTTGTCACATGGCCTGAGGGGGCAAGGGCTCCTGTTTAGCCTCAAGCTTCATTCCTATCTCCATCTCCCACCAGTCAGAAACTGGCTGCTTCTCCTGTGGGTATAATCAGGGAACTTGCCCAAGTGCAGAGAAAAGCTTGCTTCAATGCTTTGAGGAAAGGAAATTGTGCCACACCTTGACTGACCAGAACATCCAAAGAGCGGCATTCTCTGTTTAACTAGGAGCTGCTGAGCAAGCAGTTGGACAGAAAATCCTCTCTGCTTAGAATTTTTTCTTTTTTTTTGAGTCTCACTTTGTCACCCAGGCTGGAGTGCAGTGCAGTGACACAATCTCGACTCATTGCAACCTCCTCCTCTCAGGTTCAAGTGATTCTCCTACCTCAGCCTGCCGAGTAGCTGGGATTACAGGCACCCGCCACCACGCCCGGGTAATTTTTTTGTGTGATTTTAGTAGAGATGGGGTTTCAGCATGTTGCCCAGGGTGGTCTTGAACTGACATCAAGTGATCTGCCCACCTTGGCCTCCCAAAGTGCTGGGATTACAGGTGTGAGACACCGCGCCTGACCTTTGCAGCAATTATCAATGCCCTGTCCTGGCAAGTCCCCAGTTGAAGTTGCCTTTGTGAAACTCTGACCTTCCAGAGCCTGGGCCTTGGCACATTTGACTCTTGGTGTCTGTCACCATTGCTACAGACCCTGGAAGAAGTTTGCAGCAGGCTAGGAAACCACCTAGGCTGCCACCAGAGGTAGTGAGTGTCCAGTCCCTGGAGGTGTGAAGGCAGAACTGGAGACATCATTGACCAGGGATACGACAGTGAGAGGGAATTCCGGAACTGAACCTTCACTACACCAAGTGTGGTTGGTGGGCCAGGGTCGGCACTGCCTGTGAGCTCATTAGAAATGAAGGATCTCAGGGCCCCACCCCAGACCTGCTGAGTCTGGATCTGCATTTTAACAAGTTCCTACAAAATATTGACACGCTCATTAAAGTTTCTGAATCATAGAACTAAATCACCCTAAGATCTTTAAATCTTAGAATCTCTAAGATCTCATAAAGCCAGGCTACAAACTAGCCACCAAATTTCTTTTGTTTGGCCTATAGAGTGTTTTGTTTTGAGCTAACATTTAAAAATCAACAGCTTCCACATTTTAAAAATGTATAGCAGATTTCCCCCTTCTCTTGAAATCAGAAGCCCCACATGGTGCTTGTGTCACCACTTAACCACATTCTGCTGCAGCTAAACAGCAACAGTCCCCTTTATCCAGATGTCGCCACTCCCCACAGACTCCGAGACACCAAGATTTTTTGAACATTCCTTTATATTCCTGCCTGGTGCCTGTAGACATTGAGCTTAGGACTCCTTAGCAGGTATTAGGATTACAGGGGCTCCTGGACGGGACTTTGCCTTCTTTTTTTTTTTTTTAAACTGATTCATGACTTCCACAAGCTTAGTGGTATTCCCCTCCTTCCTAAAGGTGAAGGAAGAATGTATCAAACATCGAGAATCCAGCACTTGTAAGTTCTGGTTACCGAAGGTGATGTTGCTACAGAGAGCAATTTAGTGCAATTTTAAAAACATTTTAAATTGAATTTAAATACGATGAATTAAAGATTAAAAACAAAACAAAACCCGGGCATGCACACACACACATTTTTAAAAGTTATTTACATTCTTGAAGATTTTCCTTAAGATTTTCTCTGTACTTAGGTCCCAGGGATTGAAGCGCAGATTCACATCTCTGGCCTTGGACCTGACTGTGTGGATAGAGCTCTCAGCCTCCTGTCTCTTCCCTCCCGTACCCGACCCTGCAGCCCTTCCCCTTCCTTCCCTCTCTCCCTGCCTGCAAGGGCCTGGAGTAGTTAATGGTGTGTGATTTCGGCTGCCTCAAGGAAGAGTCCAGGATTAGGTGCAGAGGGATTAGCTGGGACAGGCTTAGGCAGGGCTCCTCCCGGAAGCAGAGGCGGATGAGCCAGAGGGCAGACCCAGTTTAAGGTAGAAGTGGAGTGGGCAGGGCTGAGCCAGTTCCTTCCCACCTTCACTCAGCCTCCTTCCCAGGCTGGCCTCAAGCTCAAGTGACCAGATGTGATAGAAGAGCCCTGACCCCTCCCCAGCTAGAAGAACTTGGGGAACCCCCACCCCAGAGTTCACAGATCTAGTGGGAGAAGAGAAGGCAAAAGATGAAGCCTCAGCCTCCTCTCTGTGCCTCAGCCTCTCCTTTCTCTGTTCCTGCCTCCCTTTCTGCTCTATTCTCCTGTCTTTGTGTCCCCACAGTCCCCTTTCTGCCTGGCAGTCTCTGTCTGCCTTTCTCTGCAGTTTCCACCATTTCTCTGGAAATCTTATTTCCTGGACCCAGTCGGTTATCCAGTCTCAGGGCTCTGCTGACTCAAGTCCTCCCCACCCTGTTCCTGTGGCCTGGGCAACTCCCAGCGCATGAGAGCACCGGGGCCTGGCTTGGTCACTGGGCATCCCCCACCTTCAGATGTGTTTACACTACCTCTGCCAGCTGGCCTGCGCCAGGAGCCCACACTTGCGGTTGTCCTTGCCTTGGAGATGGCTCTGTAGCTGGCAGAGCAGTGATGGCCAAAGCAGGGACCTCTCATAGCTGCTGCTTCAATCCCACGGCAGAGACTCTACAGCGTGTCCCGGGGCTCACCTGGCGCCTTTTTTTTTTTTTTTTTTTTTTTTGTGCTTCTCCTTAGGGTCTGGGCCCTGCTCCCTGTCCCATCTGCAGTGGACCCCAGGCACCCCCCTTTGAGGAGGTGGGGTGAACTGCTCCTTGGCAGGGATTTGTGACACTGCATTGCTGGGCTGTGTTCCTCGGGCTCTTCTGGACCTTGCACCGTGGATACCAGGCCATGTGCCATGGTATTTGGGTCCTGGGAGGGTGGGTGAAATAAAGGCATGCTGTCTTCCATGTTGTGGTGTGTGCTGCTTTTAGCCAGGAGAGTAGTCTCGACACCCCCATCTCTGGAACGCTCAGCCCTGCCATTTCCAGGGAGGGTTTCAGATAGGGTTGAACCTTAGAGATGGCCTGAAGAGGGGAAGTGGCCGGGGCCAACAGCTCCCAGGAACTCCTCTGCTCAGAGAACCAGTTGGGGAAGTCTCGGGCCTCTCAGGCTGCTGGAAAAGACCAGGGTCTCTGACGCTTTTAAGGTGGGTGATGTGGCTTCATCCCTTGATTGTATGCAGGAGGGAAGAAGGAAGAGAAGGACAGAGCTTGTCTATGCCATGACTCCATGACCCATGGACCATAACCTACAAACATGGGAGCCAGAGTCCAAGACTGAAGGAACAGGGCCCCCAGATGGGAAAGGTGAGGTCCACTGGTCTCTGGGCAGGACCTCATCAACAACCCACACTCCACCTCTGACCCTTCACAAACCTGCCCCTGGAGCTTCAGAGCAGGAGAGACTATCCCAAAATCACCAGTGGGTGACTGGCCCCTAAGTCTTCCGGGAGCCCAGCTGTTCCCGTGCCAGGCCCAATGTCCCAGACAGGATGACCTGTAATGGACATCGACTGTGCTGCCTTCCTACATCCATCCTGCTGGGCAGTGGGCAGCCATCTGTGCCCCATTCTTAATCCCAGTGGAAGTGGCTAGAACTGACTGCTGACTTCCCCCTTCAGGCCAGCCCAATCATTCCGTTCCTCTGGCCTCAAAGACAGATGAGCTGGGCCAGGCTGATGAAGCTCGGTGCTGGGACGTTGTTTGAAGCCATGGGGAGAAATTGTCTTCTTGGGGGGTTGCTGAGAGGATGGGACATTGAGAGATCCTTGCCACCACAAAGACAGAGCTGAACTGGCAGATGGAGAGAGACAAAGTCCTGATGGCTACTGTCTGAGCTGGGATACCTCACTGGGCCTAAAGCCAAGTCCGGCTGTTTAAGCAACATGGGCCAGCAAATTATTTTCTTTGCTTAAGCCAGGTTGCGTTGGGTTCTTTCTTTTCTTTCTTTCTTCCTTTCTTTCCTTTCTCTTTTCTTTCTCTTCTTTCTTTTTCTCTCTCTCTCTCTCTCTCTCTCTCTTCTTCTTTCATACCTCAAAACCCTCACGATGGCTGGGCACAGTGGCTCATGCCTGTAATCCCAGCACTTGGGGTGGCTGAGGTAAGAGAATCACTAGAGCCTAGGAGTTCTAGACCAGCCTGGGCAACATAGCAAAATCTTGTCTCTACAAAACACAAAAATTAGCCAAGCATGGTGGTGCACACCTGCAGTCCCAGCTACTCCGGAGGCTGAGGCAGGATGATCACTTGAGCCCGGAAGGTCAAGGTTGCAGTGAGCTGAGATCACACCACTGCATTCCAGAGCGAGACTGTCACAAACAAACAAAAACCTTCGTGATGTTTTCACGGTGATGAAATGTTGGTCCATTTGATTACGATGTGCTGATGGCTGCAAGTTCAACAGGTGGCTTTCCCATCTACTCCACCTCCTCACCCAAACCACTATGCCAAGCAGACACCTATCCATAGCCACGCACTTTATGGCCTCGCCTCAACATCATTCCCTTTGTCTCTGGCCAGCATGTCATCTCCTAGGCCTCTCTCTCAGCCTTGATCACCCACTCCCAAGCTGCATGCCTCCATCGGCATATTCCTATTGCAACTATCAACCAGGGGCCGCTGAGGCCACAGGGGTTCTCCTGCATGGACTGGCTGGTCCTCAACCACAGTCCCTGGGGTCACCTCTCCCAGGGCTTAGCCTTTATCCAAGGATAAAGGGATGGGCACCCAGAGCTCCTGCCACACTCTCTTCCAGGGCAGAGGCGAGGGCAGGGTAGGTCGCGGCCCCAGTGGAAACAAGGCCTGAGGGACTGCATACCCAGCTTTGAAGGTCTGCCCTGGAAGGCCCCAGACTGCTTCAGGCTCTGAAAAGGCAATGAGGAGGGTCCAGTGCTGAGCTCTTATCCTCAATGATGCCAAGGGGTGGAAGCCTTTCTGGCGCTTGGAGAAGAGGCCCAGCCATGGGGTGGCTGAAATAGATGATCTCAGATTATCTCAAGACCAGAGCTGATCCCAGAAACTGGTCCTTCCCTGAGTAAATGCTTCCCAGAGAAGGCCAGAGGACATGCCCTGTGATGATGCAGCTGTACAAGATGCTCCACTGGGAGCCAGAAGGGAAGCAGAGCTGGAGGTCCTGTGCTCCTCTTTTGAAGAAGGGAGAGGTTTAAGATCATCAGCATGCTGAAGGGGGGAAGCCAGTACTGTGAGGGAGACATGGGATGGGGTGACGGGGGAATGAGGCTCCTGTGTCCAGTGGGGATAGATCCAAGCACTGCGGAGTGATTGCCTTGGATGGGAAGAAGGGAAGCCTTTGAAAGAGGATTAGAATAGGACAGCTTGGGCCTGGGAGGAGCTGCACATTCCAGGACTTTCCATCAAGAGTTTCTGTTTTTTCAAGAAAGTGGAAGGTGAGGTCATCTTCTGAGTGTGTGGGGGAGGGAGGAGTACTATTTTCCTTGCTAAGTGCTAGAAACTGGGCTAAGCACTTTACCTGATAAACCTCATTTGATACCTTGAGAATCTCACGAGGCATGTGCAGTTGGTCATTGGTATCCACAGGACCTACATCCTCAGATATTTTTTAAGGGGGAGGGGGAACGGAGTCTCACTCTATCACCCAGGCTGCAGTGCAGTGGCATGATCTCAGCTCACTGCAACCTCCGCCTTCCAGGCTCAAGCGATTCTCCTGCCTCAGCCTCCTGAGTAGCTGGGATTACAGGCGTGCGCCATGATGCTCAGCTATACATCCTCAGATTTAACCAACAGCAGATAGACAATATCTAAAAAACAAAACAAAAAATAACAATACAACAATAAAAATAATACAAATAAAAACAATACAGTATAACAACTATTTGCATAGCATTTATATTGTATTAGGTAATCTAGAAAAGATTTAAGGTACACAAGAGTTTGTACTTAGGTTACACACAAATACTTCTGCACCATTTTATATCAGGAACTTGAGCATCCTCAGATTTTGGTATCCAAGGGGGTCCCGGAACCAATCCCCTAAGGATACCCAAGGATAACTGTCTATTACACTTCTGTTTTACAGATGTTAACACTGAGGCTTAGAAAGGTCGTTTGGACTGCCCAAGGTCACAAAAGCTACTAAATGAGCACTGGGACTCTACTTTTCCAAAGTCTTAAACTCTACACTATTTTTTTAATAACACAATGGGTTTATATTTAATATAGTACTTCTCATCAGGAGGATGTTACTCAGTTAATATAAAGTTTTTTTCAAAACACTAAATCTCTTTTCCATGTCGATGTCAATAGTTTTTTTTTTTAACATTAAATTTTTTTCCGCATTTCAGTATTAGATACACTGAATACATTTTTCTAAATGTTTTTTCCCCAGAGATAAAAGTTTTCCTTTTTGGCTGACTCTCCAATATCTAAATATAATATTAACTTGGGAGACAACAAAACAAAAATCTAATAAAGGAATGGAGAAAAGACTCCTCAACGATTCAGGAGGCAGTGATTATAACCGAACAGTGGTGATTTCCTAAGATTCTGGGCAAGAACTTCCTTCTTCCTATTTCACATGCTTTGAGAGAATTCTAAGATTATGAAATATTACTTATGTAAATTTCAGCCATCTTACTTCTTTGACCGCCTTTCTAACTAGCAAATTATAGGCTGCATTTTTCTGTGCATTATTTGTTGTAAAGAAAACATTTTTTTTTCTATTTATAAATGTATGTTTGTTCCCATTTCATGGAAACAATGAAAAATGTGAAACTCCCTTATTTACTGATTCTTGGAACCTTTCACACACCAAAGCTCAGGTTTAGCCTCTATAGCACAAAGGTTTTCAGGGTGAGGTTTGACTCAGTAGGCCTTTCAAAGTCACATCTGTCCATTTCTTTTTCATGCGTATACCCCCGGGCGATTGCATCACCGCCTTCTACTGCTTCCACAACAGGCAGCACCAAAAGCAGTGACATGAGGACTAAGCACAACTGTGTTGAAACTGAGGTCATGATATTGGAATCTTGAGGGCTGAAGGTTCCAAAGAAATGGTATATATAGAATTCTATCTGACTTGAAATTTTCCCTTCCTGGAGCTCCGGATGCTGAGATTAAGAGGTTCCACGTGACATGACCTTCCAGGAAGCAGCCATTACAGGAATCTAAACTCTACATTATTAATAAAGAGGCAAGAACTGATGGGACCAAGTCCCTGAGGAAATAGAAGTAGCTCTGGACAACAGAAGGCAAACCTCTTCCTCTGAGCCGGGAGCAGGAATAGGAGAGATGAAGTCCACATGTTTTGTTTGTTTGTTTGCTTGAGATGGAGTCTCACTCTGTCACCCAGGCTGGAGTGCAGGGGCACGATCTCAGCTCACTGCAACCTCCACCTCCCAGGTTCAAGTGATTCTCCTGCCTCAGCCTCCCGAGTAGATGGGATTACAGGTGTGCGCCACCATGCCCAGCTAATTTTTGTATTTTTAGTGGAGACAGGATTTCACTATGTTGGCCAGGCTGGTCTTGAACTCCTGACCTCAGGTGATCCTCCCACCTTGGCCTCCCAAGATGCTGGGATTACAGGCATGAGCCAACATGCCCAGCCAAGTCCACAAGTTTTTAATGGGAAGTAAAGGCTGCCAAAGAGCTTCCTTTCTGGCGTCATCAGGGACAAGGATGGCTGGGTGTCTGGCATGAATCAGATAAATGGACAGGGAGTCAGGTGAGAGTTTGAGGGGTCTTTGGTGAGGGTAGGGGACAGGGAGGGAGCTCAGCGGGGAGGGGGTCTTTGTGGAGTTCCAGATCTCCCAGGTCTTCAGCCTCCTGGGGCCCAGGATCCCTGAGTGTGGAGACCCTGAGGAAAGAGCCACTCTCTAGTGTCAAGCATTCTCAGCCTCAAGGACCCAGCCTGCGGCATAAGAGGGCACTAATAACCCAAATAGCAACGTACACAAGAGGGACATCACAGGGCTGGGGGCGGCGGGCGGGTGCACAGGGAATGTGGAGGTGGGCCAGAGGCCTGGAGCCCATGACAGCATGAGGCCTGTTCAGCCATTGCCAGAAGCCAGGGTGCATTTCCCTGACCAGAAAAGACCCTGCCACTAGCCAAAGCTAGCTGAGGCCTTGGACGCATTGGATTTCCCTGTTTGGAAAATGTATAAGGGAATTACCAGACAGCTTAGGGGAGGCAGCTATTCACCCAGGGCTGGGGGTCCTCACATTTGCAGAGGCCCCACACTGCGTGGTTCTTTTCTTTAGCATGGCTCAGCAGCCCCAGAGCAGGGGCCAGGGAGGGGAATAGGGCTTAACCAGGGGCATCTGGGGCAAGACAGGGTGGCAGGAGGATTTAAGGGCTTAGGGAGAAAGTGATGAAGTGCCTCAGACACTAGTTTTAAACCTACCTCCTGCAAGCAGCCTTCCTCAAATCACATGGGGGATATTGATTTTGTTTTCTATTACCTGGAAATGGTCTCCCCATCGTTTCTGAGAAATCCACACTACCTCACAGCTCATTGGCATTGCCAACTTGCCTCCAGTGGGCACAGCCAGCCTAGCATCTTGTATAAACCCTCCCCAGTGGACACGGGAAATTGGACCACGGGTGGGTTCCTGTCCCAAACTGGGTCAGTGAGAGCCCTTTGCTGGGGAACGTGGAGCTGATGCAAAGACACTCCAAAACCGTCTGTCTACCTCTTAGAGAATCCATAAACACAAGCTGTTGTGGCACTCATTCTCTGCCTTGGGAACTGGAAACAGAAAGAACTGGAAAAGCGAGAGAGGACAAAACAAACATGCAGAGAAGAGAGAGATGGAGAGAATTTTCTAAGTTCTTACAACGAACGCTCTAGTCTCTGCCTTTGGCTATCCCTGAGGCCCTGCTGGATCCCTAGCATTTTGTCCTTACAATAAATTCTCCTCTTTGCTCAAGTTCTCTCTACTATCTCTGTTCCTTACAAATTTAAGAGTCCTAATTACCCCAATCTCCCCAACCTCTAGAGTATTTCAGTCCTGTCTTCCTTCTGTTATGGATCCACTATTGCCCTGGGCCATATTTTACCTTGAAGATGACACTAGGGGTTTCTTCTTTCCTTCGAGACAGGGTCTCACTCTGTCTCCCAGGAGAGAGTGCAGTGGCGCCATCATTGCTCACTGCAGCCTTAACCTCCTGGGCTCAAGTGATCCTCCCACCTCAGCCTCCTGAGTAGCTAGAACTGCAAGTGTGCACCACCACAACTGGCTACTTTTTTTAATTGTTATTTTTATAGAGACAGGGTCTCACTATGTTTCCCAAGCTAATCTCAAACTCTGGGCTCAAGTGAGCCTCTTGCCTCCCAAAGTCCTGGGAGTATAGACATGAGCCACTGCACCTGGCCCTTTTTTTTTTTTTAAATTAAAGGAAAGTTTATTCTTTTTGTACAAGTATCTTCAGGTATTTATAATTTTACAGTTTATATTCATACATATAATTCTAGATGATTAAGAAAGGGATCCATTTTTATAAGTTGAAGAGGTCAAGATGAAAGTGTTTTTCCTTTTGATATATGGTTTTAAAGCCACAGTCTTTTCTATGAGATATTAAAGCTCCAAATGAAAGTATGGTTCTCCATTGTATGGGAGAAGTTTATTTTCTTTTGTTTCCAGCAAAGCTGTCAGCCCCCAGCCTCCATCATGGCACTAACTAGCTACACATGAGTGACTGGAACACACATCTCTACAACTGGCCCAGTCCCCACCAGGTATGTTTAAAGAGGCTGCCTTTGAGGACCCTATAATAAAGGAATCCTTTATCAAAGGACATGCCCAAACCAGGTGCAACAATCCCACAGACTCTACTAATGCACACTTTATTGCCAGGGACAGTGACATTCATGGAGAGCAGAGCAGAATCCTCCCAATTTACTAGCAGCAGCCAAATTCTCAATCTTTTCCAAAGGGAATGAAGATCCAGCATGCTCCTCTGCCACTCCTCTCATGAGCAGGTAGGAGAGTGGGCACTCACTGGGCAGAGCCAGAGAGGAGGGGCAGCCATCCAGGAGAAGGAGGATGACGCTAGGTTTCATCTTCTATGTCAATTTCAACCAGTTGGTTGTGCCTCTCTAGAATGCTATGATGACAAAGATTCTGAGGCCATTTTCAGGCTTAAAAAGAATTCATGGGTTGATTAACAATGTCTGCCATGGGCACGGATTGGGAAGGGGCTGAGTGCTCACCATGTATATTCACTGACCTTGTCACACATACAACACCCAGCTCATTGCCACCCCTGTAGACACGCATAAGACATACTTGTTGAATGAATACATGACATGATTATCTAAGGGACCCCTTTGGTGGGATGAGTGACAGGGATGCAGGACACGAAAGATGTGAGGAGGAGCAGAACAGATAAGACAGAGACATGTGATGCTCTCAGTTCAGGAATCAAATACACAGGGTTGAGAGACCTCCGTATTCATCAGGATTCTTCTGATCTAAAGGGTTTCAATTTTTTTGTAAAGGAAACGTTTGCTTCAGGTAACCAAAAAAAGAGACCAAGAATAGGTCTTGCTTCAGGTATCGGTGCATCCAGGAGCTCCCGCACTGTATCTCTACATGCCATTCAGCTGTGCTTTTGTCTGTGTTGTCTTCATTCTCAGGTGGGCTCTCCTGAAATGGTCACAGAAATAGCCAGCAACCATTTCAAGGCTTGCTTACATACTATAATCTCAGCAACTAAAACAAACAAACAAACAAAAAATCCCAGGGCTGATTTTTTGTTGTTTGTTTGTTTTTAAAGACAGGGTCTTGCTCTGTTGCCCAGGTTGGAGTACAGTGGCAGGATCATCAATCACTCTGTAACCTCAGTTCCTGGGCTCAAGCTATCCTCCTGCCTCAGCCTCCCAAGTAGCTGGGAGTACAGGCGTGTGCCACCATCCCCAGATAATTTCCAAGTCCTGCCTAATTTTGCCCAAACTGAATCATGTGCCCACCCCTGGAGCCAGAGAGTGAAGCGAGCTCTACTGTAATCATGTGGGCTGAGAATGGGGAAGGAATTATTCTTTACAGGAAAATGGGGATGTTGCTACCTGAATAAGGGGACTGGGTGCTGCCATCACATACCTTCCATTATATTCCCTTGGGCTGTGGGTTTTTCCCATCAAATCAGTAGCTACTGGAGAGCAAGGATGTTGTCCTGTTTATCCTTTCATCCCCAGCACCCTGCACAAGACCTGACTCAGAAGTTTCCAGACCCCTCCTAGCTGATGCAAGACCTCATCCATGTCTTACTGACAGAGTAAAATGACCAGGAAGGAGCTCTCACACCATCCCTGCCCTCCAGCCCACAGACCCTTCTGTGACTGTACCCATCTGCCCAGCCTCCTGCCTATTATGATGGAAGATGTGTTCCTGCTCTGCTGTGAGAGTGGTTTGCTGCCCAGCCTTTGTTCCCCATCTTCCTGGTACCAACCCCACAGATTTCCTTTATGAAACTACCCATTCCTATTCTCAGCCATGTGATCTGAATGAGACTGACTCCATCCCCAATTCCAGGGATACACCATTGTTGGCTTAAACCATTCCGTATATTCCCTGCTTCTGGCCACACTGGTCGGTTCAGGGATCACAGTGATCAATGAAAAATGACCTGGGGGGCAGCCACCTGCCAGAGTTTTGGAAAAGAGAAGCGTCAACCCTCCTCCTCAGGTGCTAGCAGAAAAAAACTCCCTCTCTTCTCCTGGTTGTTGTGGCACGAGGACGTGAGTTCTGGAACTAATTCCAGAACAGCAGCCCTGGGTAGAGCCCAAGATTGAAGTCAACACTACAGAAGGCAGAAAGAAGAGGCCAAAAGACGTCAGGGCCTTGGTCATCTCTGGGGCAGCCATGCTGTAACCACAAGGCTGGGGAGGCAGAGAACAGCATTATCACCCTCAACTTAGACCAAACATGATTCAGCACTGGGGCTGGCCACATTCCTGCCCTGAAGCAAATTTTGGTTTGATGAAGGCAGAAGGGAGAACGACATTAGGGCGGGTAATTCATTGTGTCTGTCACACACCCTACCTTTGCTACTGTAGATGCTGATAACCAACTGCATTGGGAAAGTCAGCTTCAGTTGGAATTTTCTGTTGCTTGAACTTCAGCCTTACTTGTTGCCAGCATCCCTACTTGGGCTCTGGGGCTGCCACCTTCACTTTCTTGGGTTTTCACTTCTGAAATGGGCTCTTCTCCCTCCTGCATCAACTTTCCTCCCTCGTTCCCAAGAAGACATAAACACGCTTCACGGGCAGCAGTTCTCAATGGTGGCTGCATACTGGAATATCCAGAAAGCTTTAAAAAATGCTTAATACCGGTGGCTCACGCCTGTAATCCCAGCACTTTGGGAGGCCGAGGCGGGCAGATCATGAGGTCAGGAGATCGAGACCATCCTGGCTAACATGGTGAAACTCCGTCTCTACTAAAAATACAAAAAAATTAGCCGGGCGTGGTGGCGGGCACCTGTAGTCCCAGCTACTCGGGAGGCTGAGGCAGGAGAATGGCGTGAACCCAGGAGGCAGAGCTTGCAGTGAGCTGAGATCACACCACTGCACTCCAGCCTGGGCAACAGAGCAAGACTCCGTCTCAAAAAAAAAAAAAAAAAAAAAAAAAAAGGTTAATACCTGGGTCCAATATCCGGAATCTGGGGAGGGACCTAGGCATTGCTTTTTATATTGCCGAGGCTGGTCTCAAACTCCTGGCCTCAAATAATCCTCCCGCCTTCACCCCCACAAAGTGCTGGGATTACAGGTGTGAGCCACCATGCCTGGCCACAATTTCTTTTTATAACTTGTAAAGTTACAAGTTTGAAAAAACAAATAAGATGATGCAAAACAAAATTAAAATGAATTCAAACATTTTATCAAAGGCCTATCTCATTCTGCTTAGCCCTATCTTAGGATTCTCCACAAAATTCAGCTAAGAAGACTTCAGTTTTACCTCTTCCAAGGTACTCCCTGCTTCAGCAGAAGTACGTAGAAAACAGTAAAAGGTGCTAGAATGGGGCTATGGATGCAACTGGTAGGGAATTAGAGGTGGAGAAGGGCAACAGGTTGATCTTCTAAGTTATTATGGATAAAAGTGGAAGATTTAACACAAACATGGACTTTTTCTCCCTCCAAAACCCCATTCAAATGGCAGTAAAAGAACTTTTTTTTTTTTTTTTTTTTTTGAGACGAGGTTTTACTCTTGTTGCCCTGGCTGGAATGCAATGACATGATCTCGGCTCAGCACAACCTCCGCCTCCCAGGTTCAAGTGATTCTCCTGCCTCAGCCTCCCAAGCAGCTGGGATTACAGGCATGTGCCACCACGCCCGGCTAATTTTTTGTATTTTTAGTAGAGACGGGGTTTCTCCATGTTAGTCAGGCTGGTCTTGAACTCCTGACCTCAGGTGATCCACCGGCCTCAGCCTCCCAAAGTGCTGAGATTACAGGCGTGAGCCACTGTGCCCAGCCAATAATTTTTTTTTTTTAATGGTGTTGTGGGCCAGGTGCAGTGGCTCACACCTGTAATCCTAGCACTTTGGGAAGCTGAGGCAAGAGGATTGCTTTAGCCTAGGAGTTTGAAACCAGCCTGGGCAATGTAGGGAGACCTGGTCTCTACAAAAAAAATTTAAAAATTAGCTAGGCATGGTGGCATGTACCTGTGGTCCCAGCTACTCCAAAGGCTGAGGTGGGAGGATCGCTTGAGCCTGGAAGATTGAGGCTGCAGTGAGCTGTGATTATGCCACTGCACTCCAGCCTGGGTGACAAAGGAGACCCTGTCTCAAAAACAAAAAACAAAAAATGGTGTGGTAGATTAAACATGTACACTGATTCTTTCCTCCTCCTTCTATCAAGAGGTTGAGTCCATTTCCCCTCCCACATGGACTCTGGGCTGGTCTGTGACTTGCCTTGACCCATGCAATGCATCAAAAGTGACACTGCGCCAGCTTCTGGTCTGGGCTGCAAGAGGCCTCTGGGATCCGTGCACCATGTAGTGAAGCTCAGGAAGGATTATTGAATGATGAGCAACCACGTGGAGAAAGACCCCGCCGGCCCCCAGCCATGCTGGACATGTGAGTGGAACCATTCTTGGATATTCCAGTGCCAGCCTATCTCCCAGGCGAATGTAGTTGCATGAAGGACTCCAGCTGACACTGCATGGACTCCTGCCCAAATTGCAAAATCATCTGCAAATACATGGTTCTTGGTGTTTTAAGCTACTATGGTTTATAGTAGTTTATTCTGCAGCAATAGATAATACCCACATACCACAAATATCAGAAACAAACAGGCCGGGCGCAGCGACTCACGCCTATAATCCCAGTACTTTGGGAGGCCGAGGCAGTTGGATCACCTGAAGTCAGGAGTTCAAGACCAGCCTGGCCAACATTGCGAACGCCGTCTCTACTAAGAATATGAAAATTATCTGGGCATGGTGCCGAATGCCTGTAGTCCTAGCTACTCAGGAGGCTGAGGCAAGATAATCGCTTGAACCCAGGAGGCAGAGGTTGCAGTGAGCCAAAATCGTGCCACTGCACTCCAGCCTGGGTGACAGAGAGAGATTCCATCTTAAAACAAAAACAAAAAAAGAAACAAACAAAAATCCAAAATACCTTATCACTAATATCCTCAGAGAAACAAGGTCAAATATCGCAAGCATGAAACACAAACAGATTACTAATAAAACAAATATACACAGGCTGGACATGGTGGCCCATGTCTATATTCCCAGCTACTCAGGAGGGTGAGGTAGGAAGGTCACTTGAGTCTAGCAGTTCAAGGCCAGCATGGGCAACATAGCAAGACCCCACCAGTGAAAAAAATATGATAGGAGGAATAATAGCTCAATAGGACTAGAGGAGAAAGTTGAGAAAATCTACTAGAAAACAGAACAAAAGGCAAAATGATGGGAAATTGGAAATAAAATAAAATGGAGAATAAATGAAATCGAGAATGGGAACTGGAGAGCCAGTTTGGGAGACCCAACATCTAAAGTATAAGTTCAAAAAAGAGACACTGAAAAAATAAAGAGAAGGAAATAATCGATGAAATAATTCAAGACATCTTCCCAACACTGAGGGTCATGAATTTCAAGACTGAAAGGACCTACTGAGAGCACTGCACAATTAATAAAAATTGACTACACCTTGGCACATCATTGTGAAATTATGGAAGCTGGGCCAGGGAGAGGCTCCTAAAAGCTTCTGGAGAAAATGTCATGTCATATGAAAATAATCAGGAATGCAAATAGCTCTAGGCTTCTTTATAGCAACACTGCTACCATTGGAGCAGTGCTTTCAAAATTCCGAACCAAAAAAAAAAAAAAATTGATTTCAGAGCTACTATTTAAGTGTATAGATAGATTATAGGCATTTCCAGACATGCAAAGTCTTAAAAACTTCTCCTCCCTCCCACATACCCTTTCTTGCTTAGCCCAAGAAATAAGCCAGGAAATAACAAAACATGAGATCCGGGAAACAAATCTCCAGCACAGCAGAGAGGTAAAAGGAAGACAAAGGATGGTGGTGAAGCAAGAGCTCAGGAGGACCAGGAAAGAAGCCAACAGGACACACTGGAGAGACTCCTTCACACAGTGGAACCGACTGGGAAATGGATGTGTCTGAACTGATAGAGAGGCAATCTGAACAAGTGGTGAAGTTTCGGATTAAACTAATGAAAAATATATAGAAAACCAGACCAATAATATAATCATTATTATATAGAGAAACAACAAAAGGTTTTGTATGGAAGAAAAAAATAATTACAGTATACTATAAATGTCCCCTATGAATAGCATATCCATAACAAAAATCACGTAAACACTGAGTGTCGTTTGCTCGGTCCTAATAAAACTGTACTAGAAGGATGGGGGTGAGAAACGTTTGCAAATGGGAGCAAGACTAGGAAAGAAAATGAAATCCTATCTTCCAGGCCAGGCACGGTGGCTCACGCCTGTAATCCCAGCACTTTGGGAGGCCGAGGCGGGCAGATCACAAGGTCAGGAGTTCGAGACCAGCCTGACCAACATGGTGAAACCCTGTCTCTACTAAAAATACAAAAATTAGCCGGGCGTGGTGGCGCATGCCTGTTATCCCAGCTACTCAGGAGGCTGAGGCTGGAAAATCACTTGAACCTAGGAGGCGGAGGTTGCGGTGAGCCAAGATCATGCCATTGCACTCCAGCCTGGGTAACAAGAGCGAAACTCCGTCTCAAAAAAAAAAAAAAAAAATCCTATCTTCCACAGGGGGAAGCCAATATTTGCCTAAAGCTGAAAAATCATTAAATAAACAATCATGCATGCTATTTTGAGATGCAGTGGTTTAGATTATCAAAGAAAGTAGTGAAAGTTATTGTCTTTCATGAGAGGGAAAGGACAGAAGTGGAGCAGGAAGCAGTTGTTGGTGAGAGATTTGTAGAACTATTTGACTCTTTAAATCATATGCATCTACAGCTTTGATGAGAATATTCGAATTTAAAAGAAAGTAAAAGAGAAGACAGGAAAGAGGAAGGAAGGGAGGGAGGGAGGGAGGGAAACAAAGGCCCGGTGCAGTGGCTCACGCCTGTAATCCCAGCACTTTAGGAGGCTGAGGCAGGTGGACCACCTGAGGTCAGGAGTTTGAGACCAGCCTGGCCAATGTGGCAAAACCTCATCTCTACTAAAAATACAAAAAAATTAGCCGAGCGTGGTGATGGGCACCTGTAATCCCAGCTACTCAGGAGGCTGAGGCAGGAGAATGGCTTGAACCCAGGAGGCAGAGGTTGCAGTGAGCCGAGTTGGTGCCATTGCACTCCAGCCTGGGCAACGGAGCAAGACTCCATCTCAAAAAAAAAAGAAGGCAAGCAGGAGCCAAATCATTCAGGGGCTCAAAGATGGGGTGCACATGACTTAATGGACATTTTAAAATCTCAAGTAAACCCCTTTCCCAGTCAGGGCTCAGATTTCTTCATCTATATCTTGAGGGGTTGGGTGACAACTCCTGTTCAACCTGTCTGAGATCATCATGAGCTGTAGGACAGAATGTAATAAAATATTTACATGATCAAGGGCGATGGTTCTTTTTTTTTTTAACCTTTTAAGTAGGAAGGGTAATGTGCTGTAACAAGATTTGAGACAAGCATGTCTCATATATAAGCATAAAAACCCAATCATCATGCTTACCAAGTACAAAAGGATCAAGGGCAGTGGTTCTAAAGAAGAATCACCCTACTGTAAAATGTAGATTCCCTGGCTAATCTTCTGGGGAGTCTGCCTCCTTGGTGTGAGGCAGGGATGGGGAACTGGCATTTTTTTTTTCTTTTGAGACAGAGTCTCACACTGCTCATTCTGCTGCCCAGGCTGGAGTGCAGTGGCATGATCTCGGCTCACTGGAATCTCTGCGTCCTGGGTTCAAGCGATTCTCCTGCCTCAGTCTCCTGAGTAGCTGGGACCATGGGCACCCACCAACAGGCCCAGCTAATTTTTGTATTTTTAGTAAAGATGGTGTTTTGCCATGTTGGCCAGGCTGGTCTCAAACCCCTGACCTCAAGTGATCCACCCACCTCTGCCTCCCAAAGTGCTGGGATTATAGGCAGGAGTCACATCCAACCCGGAACTGACATTTTTAATAAGCATTCAAAGACATCTGATGCCAGCCATCTGCTTGCCACACGTTGAGCAACGCTACTCCAGGACAAGTCCTTGGAGGTGCAAGATCACAGGTTTAATTGAGATAAAACGGCAAATCAATTCCCCTTTTCAGGGAGAAAGTGTCAATTTGGTATTGATATGTTTTTAGCACCCCTTTAGCGTTAGATAATCTCCTGGAACAGGGAGCTGGCCACAGGCAAAAGAATCTACCTGGAATTGAATTACACTGTTTGGTTTTCATTGCATTCTCCTTTATTCTTACCTTCTATTATGGGAAATGAAACGAATTTTCGATTTACAATAGTGACACAAAGTTTCCTTTAAAATAGATTCACTGAAATTTCTAAGTATCCAAGGATGTATTTTAGGATGAAGAGACAATAAAGCATTTTCACTTTTTCCTAGACTCACTAGATTTTGGCACATGGATACTTGCAATATTGATTTGTATTATGAGAGTGATCTAATTATTACAAAAGGAGCTATAATCACTAACTTATTCTTAATAATAATGGTTACTGGTACCTTTACAATAATGTACAATCCAATGTTTAAAAATGATACCACTTGAGTTTGGTTTGATCCTATAAACTTTCAACAAATGTCTTGGGAGGCCAAGGCAGGCGGATCACAAGGTCAGAGATGGAGACCATCCTGGCTAACACGGTGAAACCCTGTCTCTACTAAAAGTACAAAAAATTAGCCAGGCGTGGTGGTGGGAGCCTGTAGTCCCAGCTACTCAGGAGGCTGAGGCAGGAGAACGGCGTGAACCCGGGAGGCGGAGCTTGCAGTGAGCCAAGATTGCGCCACTGCACTCCAGCCTGGGCGACAGAGCGAGACTCCATCTCAAAAAAAAGAAAAAAGAAAAAAAATTTTTTTTTCAACAAATGTCTTAAAATTTAAAAGCAGGCTGATTAGTTTGGAACCAGACTACAAGTAGAGCTAACATTTGGTGAATAAGAAAACATCACACTACATTTTGGATGTATGAAAGAAAACTTGACCATGTGAAGATATATGAATAAAGAAATGTACTATAGATACTACTTTAGGAAAAAAAAGAGTGATCTATAAATAAAAACATTTGACGTATTTGAAAACGTGTGGGTCTTGCATACGACTCACATGATAAATCTAAAATTCAACCTAGCAATGGATAAGAATTAAGAACGGATGGTTTGGGCAAAGGACATTAACAGACATTGCTCCAAAGGTGATACATAAATGGCCAACAAGCAAATGGAAAGATGCTTAACATTACCGATTATTAGGGAAATGCAGATCAAAACCACAATGAGATACCAGTTCAGGCCCATTAAAATGGCTATTATCAAATAAACAGAAAATAACAAGCATTGGTGGACAAACTGGAACCCTCCTCCTGCATTGCTGGTGGGAATGTAAAATGTTGCGTCCATTGTGGAAAATAGTATGGCGGTTCCTCAAAAAATTAAATATACAGGCTGGGCACAGTGGCTCACGTCTGTAATCCCAGCACTTTGGGAGGCCGAGGTGGGTGGATCGCCTGAGGTCAGGAGTTCAAGATCAGCCTGGTCAATGTGGTGAAACCCCATCTCTATTAAAAATACAAAAATTAGCTGGGCATGGTGGCAGGCGCCTGTAATCCCAGCTACTTAGCAGGCTGAGGCAGGAGAATCGCTTAAACCCAGGAGGCGGAGGTTGCAGTGAGCACAGATTGCGCCACTGCACTCCAGCCTGGGCAACAGAGCGAGACTCGGTCTCAAAAAAAAAAAAAAAAAATTAAACATACTGTTACCATATGATCCAGCAATTCTACTACTAGGTATATATCCTAAAGAATTGAAAGTAAGAACTGGAGCGTGCAATATTGGTTTTCTGTTCCTGTGTTAGTTTGCTAAGGATAATGGCCTCCAGCTCTATCCATGTTCCCACAAAGGACATGATCTCATTCTTTTTTTTTTTTTTTTTGAGACGAAGTCTCGCTCTATCACCAGGGCTGGAGTGCAGTGGCACGATCTTGGCTCACTGCAACCTCCGCCTCCCGGGTTCAAGTGATTCTCCTGCCTCAGCCTCCTGAGTAGCTGGAATTGCAACCTCTGCCTCCCGGGTTCAAATGATTCTCCTGCCTCAGCCTCCTGAGTAGCCGGAATTACAGGCAGTCACCACCACACCCAGCTAATTTTTGTATTTTTAGTAGAGATGGGGTTTCACCATGTTGGTCAGGCTGGTCTCGAACTCCTGACCTCGTGATCTGCCTGCCTCAGCCTCCCAAAGTTCTGAGATTACAGGTGTGAGACACCATGCCTGACCATGATCTCATTCTTTTTCATGGCTGTATAGTATTCCATGGTATATATGGAATATACATGATAAGTCACTCTCACTTCAGTTGGCTTTCATGAAACACTGTGACAGGCACAAGAGGACAAAGTGTCTGCCGGCATCGTTCTCCTCCTACCTCATTGACTGAACTTTGCTGCTTCCACTCCTTTGCATGACTTCCAAATATCAGAGGACCTTAGGGCACAGCTTGTGCCTCTTCTCTTCTCTACTTATAGGATATTCTCTGCCTAGTGATCTCCACCAGCCTGTGGTATAGATGTACCTGTGTGCTTGTGACTCAAAGATGCACACCTGCAGTCCTGAGCTCTATGCCCAGACGTGGGTTCTCCACTTGGATGTCTAATGGCCATCTCAAACTTAGCATCTCCAGACCGAAAACCCCAAATCTGTTATGTTATTCCCCCAAAGCCCAAATCCATAACTTCCCCTTGGCATCTCTCCCCCAAATCCCTCCCTCACTGCACTCTTGCCTTTCCCTCCTCCAACAAGCCAAGCTTTTCCTAACCACAGGGCCTCTTCAGGAACAGTTTCCTCTGCACAAAACTCTGTTCCCCAGACAGATCCTTTCACCTCCTCTGAGGCTCTGAACGCCTCCCTTCCCACCTCTGCTTCTCACTCCTTCACATTAGTCTGTTTCATTTCCTTCATTGCACTTATTATCATCTGAAATTATGTGTTGGTTTACTTATTTTCTCTCACACTTGATTTTTTTTTTTTAGACCGAGATTTGCTCTGTCGCCCATGCTGGAGTGCAATGGCACAACTTCACCTCACTGAAACCTCCGCCTTCCGGGTTCAAGCTATTCTCCTGCCTCAGCCTCCTGAGTAGCTGGGACTACAGGCGCCCGCCACCACGCTTGGCTAATTTTTTTGTATTTTTAGTAGAGATGGGGTTTCACCATGTTGGCCAGCAACTGTGCCTGGCCTCACACTTGATTTTTAATCTCCATGAGAGCAAGCACTAGGTCTTGCCTGGGCCTTTATCAATAGCAGTGAGCATAGCACCTGGCACAGAGGTAGTTCTGAACATTAATTATTGAATGAAATAAAATAATGAATGTAGGCTGGGCGCGGTGGCTCACGCCTGTAATCCCAGCACTTTGGGAGGCCGAGGCAGGCGGATCATGAGGTCAAGAGATCAAGATCATCCTGGCCTACATGGTGGAACCCCGTCTCTACTAAAATACAAAAATTAGCTGGGCATGGTGGCACTCGCCTGTTGTCTCAGCTACTGGGGAGGCTGAGGTAGGAGAATCACTTGAACCCAGGAGGAGGAGGTTCCAGTGAGCCGAGATCATGCTGCTGCACTCCAGCCTGGCGACAGAGCAAGCCTCTGTCTCAAAAATAAATAAATAAATAAATTTTAAAAATAATGAACGCAGGCCCAAGAAGAGTTGTGGGAAATGGGGTGATATTTTTGCATAGACTTCTAAGGCTAAGAAGGAAAACAAACAGACGTGGTGGGCACAAATCTACCCCCACCCCAACTGGGTCCCAACTCTAGGCTCTCTGGCCTGGCACCACCACTGAAAGGCCCCGTTCCCCAAACCTCAGGGTATTCTTAGTCCCTCCTGTTCCCAGCGCTGCCAATCCCCCGCCCACCCCCACTTTAGTTGCGTGTTCCAGCCTCTCCGCCCCGCCCCTCCCCGCCCTGAAACGGACGTGCTTTTTAGAGGAGTCCACTGGGCTTGGAGTCAGTGGCAATAACCAGGGGCAATAACCAGGCGTGTCCCAGGGGGGAGCCCCGCTCTGCAGCCCTGTGCGCCGTAGAGAGCTGGACTTAGGCTGGCAGCATGGCCGAGTTCAGGGTCAGGGTGTCCACCGGAGAAGCCTTCGGGGCTGGCACATGGGACAAAGTGTCTGTCAGCATCGTGGGGACCCGGGGAGAGAGCCCCCCACTGCCCCTGGACAATCTCGGCAAGGAGTTCACTGCGGGCGCTGTGAGTGCGTGGGAGTGGATGGGGTGGAGGTGAAGGGGGCGAGCAGGAGGGTCCGGCCTGACGCATACTTAACCTCCCCTCAGGAGGAGGACTTCCAGGTGACGCTCCCGGAGGACGTAGGCCGAGTGCTGCTGCTGCGCGTGCACAAGGCGCCCCCAGTGCTGCCCCTGCTGGGGCCCCTGGCCCCGGATGCCTGGTTCTGCCGCTGGTTCCAGCTGACACCGCCGCGGGGCGGCCACCTCCTCTTCCCCTGCTACCAGTGGCTGGAGGGGGCGGGGACCCTGGTGCTGCAGGAGGGTACAGGTGAGGGGCGGGCCGGGCTGGGGCTGCAGGGGGAGCACAGGAAGGGGTAGGGGACTGGGGGTTGGGGAGAAGGGCAGGTGAAATGGAGAGGTGAGCTGGTGTGGCCACAGAGTAGCGGGCAGAGGAGAGGGAATGGCGGAGCCTTGGGGAGCGGGAGGTAGCAGCCTGGTGTAGGAGAAACTGTACTTATGGGAGGAGGGGACCTGGTAGAGGGTGGCAATCGTGGAGACTGTGTGGCTGGTGGTAGTGATGGTGAGTTTCTCTCCCCACCCCAACCTACTCCCCTTCTCCCACAGCCAAGGTGTCCTGGGCAGACCACCACCCTGTGCTCCAGCAACAGCGCCAGGAGGAGCTTCAGGCCCGGCAGGAGATGTACCAGTGAGGAGGGGGTTACTGATGGGGGAGGGTGTGCCCAAACGATGAGGGGCAGCTTGAGTGTCCTGGTCATGACAGAGATTAAAAGCCCCTGCCTCCACCTCTCCTATCAAAGCTGCTCCTGGGATCAGCAGCGTCTACAGGAACGTATTAGAAATGCAAATTCTCAGGCCACCTCCAACCTACTACGACACTGAGGGTGTAGAGTGGGAATTTTTGTTTTGACAAGCCTTCCAGATGACTCTGGTGGCCACTGATGTTTGAAAAACACTGCTCTAGGGCCAGGTGCCGTGGTGGCTCACACCTGTAATCTCAGCACTTTGGGAGGCTGAGGGAGGCGGATCACTGGAGGTCGGGAGTTCGAGACCAGCCTGGCCAACAGGGCGAAACCCCATCTCTACTAAAAATACAAAAATCAGCTGGGTAGGGTGGCGGGCACCTGTATTCTCAGCTACATGGGAGGCTGAGGCAGAAGAATAGCTTGAACCCGGGTGGTGGAGGTTGCAGTGAGCCGATCACGCCATTGCACTCCAGCATGGGGGACAGAGCAAAACTCCATCTCAAAAAAAGAAAAAAAAAAAGGAAGGAAGGAAAAGGAAGGAAAGAGAGAAAGAAAGAGAGAGAAAGAAAGAAAGAAAGAAAGAAAGAAAGAAAGAAAGAAAGAAAGAAAGAAAAGAAAGAGAAAGAAACTGCTTTAAATGCCTTACCTTTGCTGGTGTCTTCCTTGCCCTGGGACTTTTTCATGCATCGGCTTGTTGTGTCCTCCCAGAAATCTGAGTAGAGCCAGAAACACGCCCTTCAAGCCCCAGGAAACTCACCCTCCAGGGCTAGCAAGGGGTGAGATGGGGGCTCTCTCTGTGCTCTGGGCTCAGCATTGGAGATCACAGGGGAAAACTGGGACTTGGAGATAACAGAGGAGTTGGGGCCGCTAGTGAGGATTCCCTTGGCACAAAGCCAGGAACTGCATTCAGAAACAGATTTTCAAAAGATCTTGATCCGGCCAACTCATCTGCTATCTAAAGCCTGGGCTGCAGGCTTTTGCTCCTGGTCTGTGGGATCAGAGCAGCCACAGGCTCATTTGGTTCCTGGTGATTCTCCATGTGTCATGAATTCCACCCCTAAGGAAACCATTGCACCAAATCTGGCAGCAACAGCCCCAAGAGAGGGAATAGACATTGAGATCTACTGTGTCCATGGAGACCCAGAGTCAGCCTAGGCCCTGCCAAAACGAGCTGTGAGATCTTAGACCAATTTTTTCATCTCTTCAATTCTTATTTTCTTCTGTAAAAGAAACTAAGAATACCAATCTCGTTTGGGTTAGGAGGAACAAATGAGAAAATGGTTAAGAATGTAGGTGGTCAGCTGCTAAGTCTTGCACAACTGTGTGCTCTTGCTGTTGTTCCTGTCTTTCAGTTCACTCTGTTCCAACACTCTAGGCTCTTATAAAACGTACAGTGAGGTCTCAGATCCATTGCAACAGCATTGCCTGGGAGCTTGTTAGAAATCAGAATCTGCATTTAACCAAGATCTCTATGTGAGAGGGATTCAAGTCTGAGAGGAAGGGTTTGGCCACCACCTGGTGGCAGTGTACTTTAATTGCAAATTTTTCTTTGAAGTTGAAAGCTCAAACCCAAAAGCAAGTTTTGAATGAATCAAAGAATGAATGAGTGAGAGCATGACTGGCTAGGGGTCATCAAGTTTGCAGATACATGAATTTACCATTTCCCTGGAAGGTCTTTGGCTGTGTTGCTTGTTTGAGAATAGAATTTAGAGATGCCTCGGGCGGCTCCCCCTAAACTATGAAGGCTGAAGTGCCTCTCTATGGGACACCTACCAAAGGCAACTGAAACCTTCTGCGCAGCCCCTGTCCCAGGATAGTCTCGCCTCTACAAGATGCGTCTGTGTTAGTCGGGACTTCTATAGTTGCAAGAACAAAAGCTAACTCCAACTAGCAGGCAGAAAAAAAGTTTGTCGGCCAGACACAGAGGCACTTACAGAAACACAGGCAGGAATTGTCCACCCAGTGGAAAATGGCCATAACTAACAGTCTGTGTTTACTGCTATAATCTACATATCCAGAGAGAGACCACCTCTCTGGCTCAGCCCCAATGGCAAATTCCCTGGAAAGGACTCTGATTGGCCCAGCTCTAGTCAGGTGCTCAACTCTGGACCAATCACCCTTGACCAGGGGAGCCATCTCACTGTGGGAAAATGGCAGCTCCCTTGCAGCCTCCTTGGGTAGAATGGAAGGGCAGCTCCCAGGAGGGCCCTCTTGGCTGAAGGGGTCTGGCTGTGACCAGGCCCCCCAAGGGGACTGCCACTCCATCTGCCCTAGCAAAGAGTCTCCCTGAGGCCTCTTGCTGACCACCTTCCCTCTCTACCCTCCAGGTGGAAGGCTTACAACCCAGGTTGGCCTCACTGCCTGGATGAAAAGACAGTGGAAGACTTGGAGCTCAATATCAAATACTCCACAGCCAAGAATGCCAACTTTTATCTACAGGCTGGCTCTGCGTGAGGATGCCCACCCTTCCCTGCCCCTGGGCCTCAGATGCCCTATGACCTCTGCCTTCTGCCCTCCCCTAGTCAGTTCCCCCACCCTCAGTGATATGAGTCACATAGTCCTGCCCAGGAAACAGCCTCCTTCCCACTACCAATCCCACAGAGCAACAGCTACCTTAGGGGTAGTGACTACCTTGGGCCCGGAGGCTGGTTCAGGATCCCAAGAGGCATAAGGCTGGCTGACAGGGAAGGGTCTCCCAGGGCCTCCTCCCCACTCCCCACCCCTCACATCCCCTGGCAGTTTTGCAGAGATGAAAATCAAGGGGTTGCTGGACCGCAAGGGGCTCTGGAGGAGTCTGAATGAGATGAAAAGGATCTTCAACTTCCGGAGGACCCCAGCAGCTGGTGAGGAGCTTGGGCCAGGGATCCTGACCTCTTTCCTGGGGCATCAGCTCCTGTGGCTGCCCAGAGTCTCAGAAAACCAAGCACCAATTTGCTATGTAACCCTGATCAGGTCCTTGCTAGACCTTACTTTTCCCCACAGAGACAAAAGAGAATATGGACGGAGGGGATCCCTGACCTTCTAACGCCTTCTAATACAACAGACATTTGTTGAGCTGCTACATATCAGACACCGGGTTAGGGGCTACATGGTTCTTCACGGGGCTCACAGTTGAGCAGGCCAGTTGGTGTTAATTAGACTCAAAATCAAATAATTCATTTCACTGTGAAACATGCTCATTGGATCCAGTGAGGGTGTAAAGGGGGCACCTGCCATACCCTGGAGAGGGCCCCAGGAAAGCTCTCCCAAGGGGGTGAACTATGCTGAGACCTCAAAGTTCAGTAGGCCTTAGCAGTGCCAAGGATGGGCCGTGGGGGCAGAGAGCAGTTCGGGGAACAGTGAGTGTGAAGGCCCTGAAGACAGAAGGATCAGCCACCTTTGGAGGAAAGAAAACACCACTGTGGTCAAAGTGTAATGAACAAGAGAAGGAGAGCGAGAGAAGGAGCAGGAAGGTGCACGGGGGTCGCACAGGACTTTGTCGGCCATGGCAGGACTTGCGTCTTTCCTCAGCCCAGTGCTTGACTGGTTGCCAGCAGGGGAATAATGTGGTCACTGTGCACTGCTGGGGGGCAAGAGACTATGAGAATCTGCTATGAGGCTCTGGCTGTGGTCACCAGAGGATGGTGGCCTCAGCAAGGCAGTGGCAATGCAATGGAGAGGATGGGTGGACCGAGAGGTACTCAGGATGGAGAATCAATGGGATTTGATATGTGAGGGGTACTGCCAAGAGAGGTCCCCAGGCTCCGGCTGGGCGCAGTGGCTCACACCTGTAATCCCAGCACTTTGGAAGGCCAAGGTAGGTAGATTGCATGAGGTCAGGAGTTTGAGACCAGGCTGGCCAACATGGCAAAATCCCGTCTCTACTAAAAATACAAAACTTAGCCAGGTGTGGTGGCATGGGCCTGTAGTCCCAGCTACTCAGGAGGCTGAGGCCTGAGAATTGCTTAAGCCTGGGAGATGGAGGTTGCCCTGAGCCAAGATAGCCCCACTGCATTCCAGCCCGGGCAAGAGAGTCAGACCCTGTAAAGAGAGAAAGAGGTGGGGAGTGGGGGAGAGAGAGAGAGAGGAAGGAAGGAAGGAAGGAAGGAAGGAAGGAAGGAAGGAAGGAAGGAAAGAAAGAAAAGGAAAAAGGAAAAGGCGGAAGCTGAGGCAGACAGATCACTTGAGCCCAGGAGTTCGACACCAGTCTGAGCAACATGGAGAAACCCTGTCTCTACCAAAAAGACAAAAATTAGCCAGGCATGCTGGTGTGTGCCTGTAATCCCAGCTACTTGGGAGGCTGAGGCAGGAGGATCGGTTGAACCCAGGAGGCAGAGGTTGCAGTGAGCCGAGGTCACGCCACTGGACTCCAGCCTGGGCAACACAGCGACACAGCCTGTCTCAAAAAAAAAAAAAAAAAAGGAAAGAAAAAGAAAGGGTCCCGAGTCTCCTCTGTAGGCAACTGGGTGGGGGATGGAGCTGCCACTTCCCAAATATCAGGCAATGGGACTGACCTGAGCTGTAGGAATAATCTGTATTTGGCCTGCAACGTGTTGCATTTGAGGCTAGTGAGTTATTCAGGGGGAGTGTCAGGCAGACACTGGGATGCATGGGCTGGGGACTATGATTTGCTGCTGGGTGAAGAGGCAGTGACTGAAGACAAGGGGCAGGGGAGGTAACTCTGAGGACACACTGTGAAGATTAGCCAGAGGCCTGTGGGAGCTGGGGTAACCCCGTCCCCGTGTCCCCCACCCCCTGCAAAGCACGCATTTGAGTGACCCCGTTCCCCTGTCCCCCACCCCCTGCAGAGCACGCATTTGAGCACTGGCAGGAGGACGCCTTCTTCGCCTCCCAGTTCCTGAATGGTCTCAACCCTGTCCTGATCCGCCGCTGTCACTACCTCCCAAAGAACTTCCCCGTCACTGATGCCATGGTGGCCTCAGTGTTGGGTCCTGGGACCAGCTTGCAGGCTGAGCTAGAGGTGAGGGGTGCAGGGATCTTGGCTCTGCACAGTCCCATCTCAGTGCCTTCACACCCGTCCCCTACTGGAGACAGAGGGGCACACTCACATTTGTTAGGGACCTACCGCGTGCTGCGTGCCAAGCACACTCTCCCGAAACACACTCCTCTCCCAGCCCTGAATCCTCTCCCTTCTACAACTGCACCCCCTTCATTTAGAAAACCAGGTGGCAGCCCCAGATCTCCTTTCTTCTGCAGAAGGGCTCCCTGTTCTTGGTGGATCACGGCATCCTCTCTGGCATCCAGACCAATGTCATTAATGGGAAGCCTCAGTTCTCTGCGGCCCCAATGACCCTGCTATACCAGAGCCCAGGCTGCGGGCCGCTGCTGCCTCTCGCCATCCAGGTATGCAGTCAGGCAGGGGCAGGGCAGCGTGAAGAAGAGTCAGGAGAATGGTTGGAAGACACTCATGGCTGCCTCTCTCCCCACCTGCCTCCCCCCAGCTCAGCCAGACCCCCGGCCCAAACAGCCCCATCTTCCTGCCCACTGATGACAAGTGGGACTGGTTGCTGGCCAAGACCTGGGTGCGCAATGCCGAGTTCTCCTTCCATGAGGCCCTCACGCACCTGCTGCACTCACATCTGCTGCCTGAGGTCTTCACCCTGGCTACCCTGCGTCAGCTGCCCCACTGCCACCCTCTCTTCAAGGTCAGTGGCTTGACAAGGTGGCCCAGCCTGTGCCCATGCCTCTGTGCCTCTTCTAAGCAGCCTTTCCTCACATGGCCCTATCCATGCAAGCTGGGATGCAGAGCCCCCGTCCGCTTCAGCAGCATCTCCTGGCACAACTCCCCTGGAAGCCTGCTATCCAGCAGGCCCTAAGTAACATAAATGCAGCACCCCAGAAAGGCTCTCGAAGGGAGATCAGGCAGCATCAACAGCCGTCATAGAAGCCCAAATCTTAGGAAGGGGAAGGACCTGGGGCTGGCAGGTGCCAAAGTTTGAACATGGCTTTGAGAGACCAACAAGTTCTCTGCAGATACTTCTGGGGTAGGGGAGGGCTGGGTGGGAGGCCCCCGTGCTCTAGGGTGGGTTCTGTAGGTTTCCTAGACCCTGCTAGCTTTCAGACGGCATGGATTCGAGGCATCTCCTCTGTGAAGGGCAGGATGGCCCCCTCCCAGGGTCCACCCACAGTCGCTGCTCAGATTCTCTGATCCTTCTAGACTTCTCCTGGGTCCCAGATGCGGGCCCTACTCTGTGCTCTTCTGTACTAGCTGGTTCTTTCTGACTATCTGCAGCTTCTGAGGCCTGGCGCTCAGAGGTGGGCTCTGGTGGACGGCTCCACATTGCCAGGCCCACAGGCCCTGGTTTTCCTAGTGCCTTCCCTGCCTAGGGGCTAGGAAATCACAGGATGCCAGAGCCGGAAGACACAGGGCTCAGCCACATCAGCACCCACATTTGACAAAACAACCTGAGGCTCAGGGAGAGGAAGGAGCACGCCTGAGCTCCCAGAACAAGCTGCTGGTGGAGCCCAGCAGGAACTCCAGGGCTCAGACCCCTGTCCCAGGCTGCCTCCTCTCATTCTTGTTGCCTCTTTCCAAGTGACTTGCAGGGCTGGTGCCTGTGTGGGGGAAGGTCTGGGGCCAGAACAACCCAGGCCTCCCCTAGCTCTGCCATTTTCCTGCCATGCAGCTGCTGATCCCGCACACCCGATACACCCTGCACATCAACACACTCGCCCGGGAGCTGCTTATCGTGCCAGGGCAGGTGGTGGACAGGGTGAGAGCTGTGTTGGGGAGGGAGTAGGCAGGCCACTCCTTCAATGTGACGAATTTGAGGTCCTGGGGTAGGAGTGGCCCATCTCCCCGACACCAGTGCTACCTCCTGCTTCTGGAGCAAGGTCTGTAGGACCCAAGAGTCCTGTCTCTCAGTCCACAGGCATCGGCATTGAAGGCTTCTCTGAGTTGATACAGAGGAACATGAAGCAGCTGAACTATTCTCTCCTGTGTCTGCCTGAGGATATCCGGACCCGAGGAGTTGAAGACATCCCAGGCTACTACTACCGTGATGATGGGATGCAGATCTGGGGTGCAGTGGAACGGTGAGGGGCCGTCCCTGGAGAGCCGAGGGCTGGTCGGGGACGTGGGAAGACAGGAAAGGAGACTGAGGCCCCAGGGAGGCTCACGTTGAGGAGGAGGGCCAGACATTCATGATGCTAAGCAGAGGCATTCCTCAGAGCGGGTCGGGGTTGGAGGCTGGACCTGAACCTGGATGCATTGCAGCTTTGTCTCTGAAATCATCGGTATCTACTACCCAAGTGATGAGTCTGTCCAAGATGACAGAGAGCTCCAGGCCTGGGTCAGAGAGATCTTCTCCAAGGGCTTCCTAAACCAGGAGAGCTCAGGTACAGGGACCTCAGCCCTCAGGCGCATTTGAGTGAGCCCATCCCCGTGTCCCCCACCCCCTGCAGAGCACGCATTTGAGTGGCCCCGTCCCCGTGTCCCCCACCCTCAAGGCTCACCCTCAAGCCTCCGCAGCAGGGTCCTCAGGTCCCTGGAAGCCCCATCCCAGCCCAGCTCTCCTTGCAGGTATACCCTCCTCACTGGAGACCCGGGAAGCCCTGGTGCAGTATGTCACCATGGTGATATTCACCTGCTCCGCCAAGCATGCGGCTGTCAGTGCAGGGCAGGTGAGGAAAGGCCAGCGCCCGAGGTGGCAGGCTGGAGGTGACCCAGCTCCTCAGCCTCATTCTGCCCTCTCGGCCTTCAGTTTGACTCCTGTGCTTGGATGCCCAACCTGCCACCCAGCATGCAGCTGCCACCACCCACCTCCAAAGGCCTGGCAACATGCGAGGGCTTCATAGCCACCCTCCCACCTGTCAATGCCACATGTGATGTCATCCTTGCTCTCTGGTTGCTGAGCAAGGAGCCTGGAGACCAAGTGAGTGTGGGGCTGGGGGCCAGGCTGGGCCAAATTGGGGTAAGAGAGGGTGTGATGTTTACCCTGCTGGCCCAGACCCAACCCTGCCATCAGGTAGCGGGTCCCTTTGCCCCACTGACCCTCCAGTGGGACACATGAGCCTTGGACATTTCACAGTGAAGGTCAAATGGCCAAATGCGATGATGCGGAGCCACTCTCAGTAGCAAGGGGAACGTGTAATTATGCTTCTTGGAAATTCCGAATTGAGCTTTCATTCCCCGAAAGCTTCCTGCAGATAAGCTTTACATGGATATCTGTTTAAGAGGAGGGACATGGATCAGGCCCCATCGAGGGCTACTTCAGGTCCCACACTTGGGGGCTAGGGCCAGAGCTGGCTAAGGCAAGTTGCAGCTGCTCAGATAGTGGGGACCAGGAGTCTGGGATGCAGGACCTCAGCAGCCGCCTCACCCAACCTTGTGGTGGATCCTCAGAGGCCCCTGGGCACCTATCCGGATGAGCACTTCACAGAGGAGGCCCCTCGGCGGAGCATCGCCACCTTCCAGAGCCGCCTGGCCCAGATCTCGAGGGGCATCCAGGAGCGGAACCAGGGCCTGGTGCTGCCCTACACCTACCTAGACCCTCCCCTCATCGAGAACAGCGTCTCCATCTAAATCCCAGGGGAACACAGGCCCAGATGACATCCCTTTGACCACATCGCTCTAGGATAACTGGCACCCAGAGAAAAGGACTCCTCAGAAAAAACAGGCCCCCATGTGCCTCTCCTGGGACAACCAGACTCTGTAACTCACCCCCACCACCATACACACACACAAAAACAGAAACAAAATCAAAACAGAGAAAGCAGAAAATCTACCAAGAACAGAGTCTCAGGACAGAACCACTGAGTCTTTTGGAGGCTCCAAGCCTCAAAGTGCCCGCAGAGCCCACCTTGAGGGTTTTGCTAGTTGGTTTTGTTTTGCGTTTTACAGCCGTGGGGGGAAGCACATAATCCCGCCCCAGGGCCCACTAGCATCCACTGATTGGACCTTATGGTCACCCAACTCAAGGACAGCCACCAAGAAGTGGCTGCCAAAGAGACTGGGCGCAGTGGCTCATGCCCATAATCCCAGCACTTTGGGAGATGGAGGCGGGAAAATCATTTGAGGTCAGAAGTTCAAGGCCAGCCTGGACGACATAGCGAGACTCCACCTCTACCAAAAAATAAAAATTAAAAAACAAATTGGGCCTGGTGGTATGTGGCTGTGGTCCTAACTACTCGAGAGGCTGAGGTGGGAGGACTGCTTGAGCCCAGGAGTTTGAGGCTGCAGTGAGCTATGATTGTGCCACGGCACTCCAGCCCAGGTAACCGAGCAAGACCCCGTTTCTATTAAAAAAAAAAAAAAAAAAAAACAAGGCCGGGCGTGGTGGCTCACACCTATAATCCCAGCACCTTGGAAGGTCAAGGTAGAGGGATCACCTGAGGTCAGGAGTTCAAGACCAGCCTGGCCAACGTGGTGAAACCCGGTCTCCACCCAAAATACAAAAAATAGCTAGGCGTGGTGGCACACATCTATAATCCCAGCAACTTGGAAGGCTGAGATAGGAGAATCACTTGAACCTGGGAGGCAGAGGTTGCAGTGAGCCCAGATCATGCCACCGCACTCCAGCCTGGGTGACAGAGTGAGACTCCGTCTCAGAAAAACAAAAATGAAAACAAAAAATACCCAAGAGGTTGATTGTGACCTACTGTCTCAGCTTTAAAGTGAACAAAACACTGAAAAAGGGTCACTGGGAGCCAGGCAGAATGAGAACACCCAGTCGGCACAGGCAGTGCCTATGTATACTTTCTTAAAAACATCCCCTAAAGTTAAAGACTTGTACGTTATAAGGCAGGTTCCGTTTCCAGAGAATCAGAAAACATTGTCATATCTCTAATCATACTTTGCTGCTAGATTTCATCATCACTGATGGATTTACATTTCATACACATTCTTTCATTCTGTTTTTCTTTTTTTTCTGGCTCATAGTCGGTGAGCATCCATTAAGGTAAAAAAGTGTCCTTTAAAAAAAAAAAAAAAACTCCCGTGGCGACACCTGGTAGACATCACCTTAATCAAATAATCCAGGTGAGTTCAGGCGTGGTGGCTCACACCTGTAATCCCAGCACTTTGGGAGGCCGAGGCGGGCGAATAACTTGAGGCCAGGTGTTAAAGACCAGCCTGGCCAACATGGCAAAACCCCATCTCTACTAAAAGTACAAAAACTAGCCGGGCTTGGTAGCAGGCGCCTGTAATCCCAGCTATTTAGGAGGCTGCGGCAGGAGAATCGCTTGAACCCAGGAGGCAGAGGTTGCAGTGAGCCGAGATCATGCTGCTGTATTCCAGCCTGAGTGACAGGGAGAGACTCTGTGTCAAAACAAAAAAAAAAAATCCAGGTGAACTTGCTGATACCATGTTGCTTTGCTCTAATGTTGTAAGAAGAGCACCTCATCTCTGTGGTTTCTTCTAGAAACTCATAACTACAGTCTAGTGATGAGAAAAATACAGACAAACCCAGATTGAGGGACATTCTGCAAAATACTTGACCAGCACTTTCCAAATTTTAAAATTGCCTTTGCTTTTTTGGTGTAAAAACAAAATGCATCCTTTACAATTCATCTAATGATTTCCATCACTACTACACATTGCAGGCATGAGTGCTTTTGTTTTTCAGTTTCACTGATTTTTATAAAACAATGTGGACAAAAATGCAATTTATATACTATAACTGCATAAACATTACCATTGGAAAAAAACAGAACAGTGCCTCAGAAAGGGTAGGGCTGACTGGCAAGTGGCATTTGACATGCTCATTCCTCGTTGAGAGTGAGTATACCGAAAGTGATTTAGAGATATATGTATCTGTCAAACTTCTTTCCATCAATTCCTGCTAACTTAAGCAATAAAGGAGTTAATGGAAAAGAAATGGAGTTCCTTGAGAAGTTAAAGAGCTGACTATGCAGGCCAGGCGCAGGGACTCAAGCCTGTGATCCCAGCACTGGAAGTCCAAGGCAGGAGGATTATTTGAGCCCAGGACTTCAAGACAGCTTGGGCAGTATAGTGAGACCCCATCTCTTCAAAAAAAATTAAAAAGTAGCAGAGCGTGGTCGCTCACGTCTATAGCCCTGGCTATTCGGGAGGCTGAGGAGGGAGGACTGCTTGATCCACGGAGGAAGAGGTTGCAGTGATCACACCACTGCATTCTAGTAATCCAGACTGGGCAACAGAGCGAGATCTTGTCTCAAAAAAAAAAAAGGCCGGGCGCGGTGGCCCACACCCATAATCCCAGCACTTTGGGAGGCCGAGGCGGGTGCATTACCTGAAGTCAGGAGTTCAAGACCAGCCTTACCAACATGGTGAAACCCCGTCTCTACTAAAACTACAAAAATTAGCTGGGCATGGTGGCAGGCGCCTGTAATCCCAGCTACTTGGGAGGCCGAGGCAGGAGAATCACTTGAACCCGGGAGGCAGAGGTTGCAGTGAGCCGAGATTGCACCACTGCACTCCAGCCTCGGCAACAGAGTGAGACCCCATCTCAAAAAAAAAAAAAAAAAAAGTTAATCATGCAGTTTCAGGAAAGAAACTGAAACCCAGGAAGCTCCAGGCATCTGGGGGACAAGGGACAAGAACTGATGGATGCTGTCCTCAGGCACTGCCATGGGAATAATGAAGCGCCTACCATTTTTCATCCTTGAGTTATTTGCCTCCATATTCAGTTCCGTGAGAGAGGCTGTTTGACGTAACACGGAGCAGCAGAGACCACTGGTTCCTGGAACAGAGAGAGTTTATGTTCACCCAATACCTCATGTACTTCCCAACATTTCCCAGCCTGCCTTAAAGTTAGATTGAGGCCATGTGACTAATTCTGGCCAGAACACTAATTCGCAGAGGAGTGATGTGTGTCCTTTCCAAGATGGGACAGTTACGAGCTGGTGTGCCTCCTTCATCCTTCTATTGCCCCATTGCCTATCCCTCGGAGGCATTTCCAGCTGACCTAGCCATCCTGACCTCTATTGCTGGACTTCCAGTTCAGGAGGACAAGGTTCACAACTGCCCATCACAGCGCCGGCACACTGCAGGTGCTTGGTAAGTACGTGCTGAATGAAGGAATTAATTCCTGCACAAATAATTCCTAAAACCCTGTGGTGCCCATCGCTTACCTGTGTCTCCCCAACCAGACTGTGAGCTTCTTGAATGCAGGAGCTGGGTCTCACTCAACTTGCCAGGCCTCATGCCCAGCGCTGCATTGACACAGAGTGATACCCAACAAATGTTTGTTTAATGTTGGATGAAGGGAAAGTGATTGGATGGTTGCATGCGTGGATGTACTGGTGAGTTGGAGGGCAGTTGCACCCCAGTCAATAAACTGGTGTTTGTTTCAGTATATATCTTTTGGGATCAACTATCATTTCCAGGAGAAACTGCAGCGTCCAAGGCAGCATAGCCGTGAAAATCCAAGCAGTCAGTCCCTAACCACTCTTGGAGAAGCCACCACCACCTCCTCTGCCCAGGGCCTGTGAGCTTGTGAGCCTGTGAGGTCCCCCCGCCACACACACCACACAACCCTAGCCCTAGAGCTCTCAGCTGGCCTCCCCGCCTTGAGAAGAGAAGGTTCTTCTCTTCTACAGAGAACTTCACCTCTACAGAGAACATTCTCTACAGAGAACATTCACCTCTAGGGATATCCAGTTAATGCTCCAGAATGGTGGCCTCCTTGGGCTATGATGGATGGTAAATAGATAGAAGATAGATAGTAGATAGATAGATGATGACAGATAGATAGATAGATAGATAGATAGATAGATAGATAGATAGTAGATAGATAGAAGATAGATAGTAGATAGTAGATAGAAGATAGATAGATGATAGATAGTAGATAGTAGACAGATAGTAGACAGATAGTAGATAGAAGATAGATAGTAGAAGATAGATAGATAGTAGATAGAAGATAGATGATAGATAGTAGATAGATAGTAGACAGATAGTAGACAGATAGTAGATAGAAGATAGATAGATAGTAGAAGATAGATAGATAGTAGATAGGAGATAGATGATAGTAGATAGATAGTAGACAGATAGTAGATAGAAGATAGATAGATGATAGTAGATAGATGGATAGATGACAGACAGTAGATAGAAGATAGATAGATAGAAGACAGTAGATAGTAGATAGACAGTAGATAATAGAAGATGGATAGATGATAGTAGATAGATCGATAGATAGATGATAGATAGAGAGTAGATAGAAGATCGATAGATAAATAGATAGAATATAGTAGATAGAAGATAGGTAGATAGATAGAAGACAGTAGATAGATAGTAGAAGATAGATAGATGATAGTAGATAGATGATAGATAGTAGAGAGAAGATAGATAAATAGATAGAAGATAGATAGATAGATAGAAGATAGATAGTAAATAGATAATAGACATATAGCCATGCATTACTTAACGATGGGGATATGTTCTGAGAAATGTGTTAGGTGATTTCATCATTGTGTGAACACCGCGGAGTCTGCTAACACAATTTTAAATGGTAGCGCGTACCACACACCTAGGCTATATGGTCTAGCCTGTCGCTCCCAGGCTGCAAACCTGTGCAACACGTTACCATGCCGAATACTATAAGCAGTTGTAACACAATGATAATATCTACACATTGAAAAGGTACAATTAAAATATATTGCTAAAGGCAAAAAGTGGTACACCTAAGTAAGGCATTTACTGAAGGCCTTGGAACCAGGGATGCCGATGGTGTAATGAATGGAGCTGCGGGACCGGAAGTCGCTGTGGGTGTGTCAGTGAGTGCATGGTGAGGGAATGTGAGGGCCTAGGCCGTCACTGTACACTTTTATGTGACTGGCAGCACAAAATTTTACTTAGACCAGCATCACCGCGAACATGTGAGTAATGCATTGTGCTATGACATCATGACAGCTATGATGTCACTAGGCATTAGGACTTTTTCAGCTTCATTATAATTTTATGGGACCACCATTGTACATGTGGTCCATCATTGATCAAAATGTCATTATGTGGTGCATGACTATAGACAGATATATAAGGAGAAATTAGGGGAATTGGCTCACGTGATTATGGAGGCGGAGAAGTCCCACTACAGGCCGTTCCCACTACAGGCTGTCTGCAAGCTGGAGACCCTGGGATGCCAGTAGCAGCATGGCTCAGTCCAAGTCTGAAGGCTTTGGAACCACGGATGCCAATGGTGTAATTCTCAGTCCAAGACCAAAGGCCTGAGAATACTTCCACTGGTCAGAGGACCACTGGTATGGGTCCTGGAGTCCCAAAGCCAGAGAGCCAGGGTTCTGATCACCAAGAGCAGGAGGAGGAGAGTGTCCCAGCTCCAGGACAGAGAGAAAGGGAGGAAATCCTTTTCTCCCTTTTTTCGTTCCACCAGGACCCACAATGATTGGATGATGCCTGCCACATTGAGGGTGGATGTTTCCCACTCAGCCCACTGACTCACAGCAATCTCCCCTGGAAACACCCTCACAGACACAACCAGAAATAATGCTTTACCAGTTCTCTCGGTATTCCTCAATGCAGTCAAGTTGGCACTTGAATGCATTAATGATGAAGTGTTATATAATATAGGTAGAAAACAAGTCACACCATGAGAAGCACATGATCCCTTTTGTTTTTTGTTTTTTGAGACGGAGTCTTGCTCTGTCACCCAGCGAGACATGCCACCATGTGGCATGATCTCAACTCACTGCAACCTCCGCCTCCCGGGTTCATGCCATTCTCCTGCCTCAGCCTCCCTAGTAGCTTGGACTACAGGCGCCCGCCACCATGCCTGGCTAATCTTTTTTATTTTGAGTAGAGACAGGGTTTCACCGTGTTAGCCAGGATGGTCTCGATCTCCTGACCTCATGATCCGCCCGCCTCGGCCTCCCAAAGTGCTGGGACTACAGGCGTGAGCCACCGCGCTGGGCCCCCTTGTGTGTTTTTTTTTTAAGTGAAGTATGTAAATCAATAGAAATGGCAAGGAAAGATCTGGAAAGAAGGATGCACACCTAGCTGTTGCTTGAGAAGGAGAGTGGGATTGTACAGCAGGGCCACATTGAGGAGTAAAGAAGTGGGAGCCTTAAACTAAGAGAGAGAGAGAGAGAGAAAGAGAGAGAGGTGAAACCCTGAAAAGGAGATCTATTTGATTGCTTGAGGTACTCACAGGGAACAGCCTTGTTAAGAAAAATTATCCAAAACTGATGAATAGAATCAAGAGGACAACTGCCTGTCCTTTTAAAGATGTTTTCTTTTCTTTAATTTTTGGTTTTCCTTCTTTCTTTTTTTTGGGGGGGTGGTTTCTGGTTTTTGAGACAGAGTCTCACTGTGTCACCCAGACTGGAGTGCAATGGTGCCATCTCAGCTCACTGCAACCTCCGCGTCCCGGGTTCAAGAGATTCTCCTGCCTCAGCCTTCCAAATAGCTGGGATTACAGGCACCCACCACCACACCCGGCTAATTTTTGTATTTTTAGTGGAGACGGGGTTTCGCCATATTGACCAGGCTGATCTCGAACTCCTGACCTCAAGTGATCCTCCCACCTCGGCCTCCCAAAGTGCTGGGAGGGATGCTTTATTTTCTAGCACGGCATACCACTGTTTGACTTTTCTGTGTGTTATTAATAAAGGCCTCGATTTATGTGAAGTTCATGTAAATGATTTGTTCCTTTTTTTAAAAGCAAATAAACTGGAGATTATAGTTCATTGCTCTGTAGAATGTTGACTAGTTTCATATCTAACCCAACAATCGTGTCCTAACATTCCTTTATTAAATTGCCTGTAAGTGCCCGGCTCCTCAATTGTTCTTGAAACCAGCATGACCATCTGGCTGAGTCGAATAAAATATTTGACTTGTGAACATTCTAATTTGTATGAACCATGTTTTTAATTTGTTTGAAATCCCTCCCAGGGTGGAGGGAGAGCTGCTTGTGCCACCCCAGAACAGTGCCTAGAACCCCAATCCCTTCTTCTCTCTGCCAGGTCCTCTTCCAGCCTCCTCTTTATCTTTGTGCCCGCCTTCCCCTCACCGCACCCCCATCCATGTTGGACATCCCAGGGGTGCCTTTGCTCACTACCCCAGGGAATGAGAAACAGACTCTTCTGTCCCCACCCGCATCCCCCACTGACCTAAGAAGGTGCTGAAGCCTGGGACAGAGACAAAAGTGGCAGAAATGGAGAGGGATGTGTGGGTTGAAATAGGGGGCTTGGATGTGGGCCCAGGTGGTTGAGGACCAGCCTACACTGTGCCCATTTAAAGATTAATAGTATATGCTTTAGAATAGTGCTTTACTAATATGATTATGAATCATAAGTATAATAGCTTGTGCTTAGTACAACAATAAGAGAATCAGGCGGTGAGCTTGCTTGACTGACCACAGAGTGGAACAAACAACCACAGGAAGTCTGCGGAGCCTCTGAGCAAGAAAGTTGGCTTATTGCTCAACCTTCCACTTGAGTGCCTGAACAAAGGTCTCATGGGAAGGGAAGCGACCCCTGCTCCATTACCCGGGAGGGTACTGCAGGAGGCTGCTGGTAAAAGAGGAGAAGTCCTCTGCAGTAGGGTTAAGGAGGAAGCCTCCTATCTCCCGCATGTTCCCAGAGGCAAAGCAGCTGCTCTGCTGACGGTGCTCAGGCGTTGACCACTCCTTTGATGTACAGGCCTGTGGGTTTGAAGGGCTGTTTGCTTTCACGTCCTGTTCTGTTCTATTAGCCGCTTAGTTGGACTCTGATGATTATCTGTAAGTTAAACATAGAGTATTAGCTTACGTAGTGGAACAGTAAATAGTATTAACTGGCTAATGACCGACACAGCAGGCTCCGCCACCTCTCCCTATGCTCACCCAATGATCACCTCACCATCAGCCCACCCTCAGCCTATAGGATCAAAGGAACTGTACTCAATAAATATCAGTGGAACCCAGAGCTCCTGGCCTTTGCAATCTCCACGTTGCGATGGATCCTTGGACCCACTTTTGTTAACTCTTAAACTTTGTGTCTTTGTCTTTATTTCTTTTCTCATTCCCTCGTCTCCACCGGGAAGGGGAGAGCCTGCGGGTGGTGTATCAGGCAGGTTCCCCTACATCTTTGGCACCCAACACGGTCTCCTTGAACCCAGGTGAAGTTACACCTGAGCGTGGTCGTTGTGAAGAACGGTCTGTCCAGGAACTCCCGAGAACGTGTGGTCGGCCTTGCGGTAAGCTTGTGCACTCGGAGCATTCCAGGGACACCATGGGACAATCCAAAAGTAAACATTCTGCATATTTACATTTTATTAAGCTCCTCTTAAAGAGGGCAGGAATTAAGGCTAGCACAGAAAATTTGATTACTCTGTTTCCAACAGTAGAGCAATATCGTCCTTGGTTTCCTGAACATGGTACCATGGACTTCAAAGATTGGGAACAGGTGGGAATTGCCTTAAAACAAGTTTGTAAGGAAGGAAAATTTATCCCCCTAACAGCCTGGTCAAACTGGGCTATAGTTAAAGCAGCCTCGGAACCGTTTCAATCGGAAAATGAGGCTTATCCTCCAGCAGAAAGAATTTCTGCAGAGGAAGGTGGTGATGCTGCTGAAGGAGGAGAGGATAGTGAAGAAGATTTTGAGGAAAATACAGACAAACCTGGAGATGAGTTAATTTCTTTTGAGGAGCACGTGGGACCTTCAGCTGCTCCTAAAATAGAGAAGCCATATATGCCAAGATGTTTAAAACAAAGAAGGGCCTTGAGGAGCAGTCGGCTCCTCATTGGGATCATCCGGAGTGGCCGCCTCCAATAAAGCAATGTAGCTTGGAGCCTTGGAGGTCTGAATCTCAAATTTGCCCTGTTTCACGAATGAATGAATTGTGGCCTCAGGAACCACGAGCGCATGGTGTAGCACCAGTACAACATAAGGCTGCACTGCCATCTAATGTTAATGAATCGCCATTACAGTTTACTATTCGGCAGGCTAGATTAGCCGGAGATCTTGATGCCTGGCAGTTTGCAGTAGTTTTGCAACCCCCACGACAGCAAGGTGGAGCCCATCAAGCGGTATGGGAACCATTTTCTTTTAAGCTGCTCAAAGATCTTAAAGCAGCTGTTGGTCAGTATGGTCCCAATTCGCCTTTCATCCGATCGCTATTGCAATCTGTGGCTCAGAATAAGCTATTGACTCCGTGTGATTGGGAGATTTTAACGAAAGTTACACTTTCGCCCTCCCAATTTCTTCAGTTTAAGACTTGGTGGACCGACGAGGCTCAAAATCAAGATCGAAAAAACCGTGCTGCTAATCCTGCTATTGCCATTACATTTGAACAACTTCTAGGAATAGGGGGTCAATGGGGAACTGTAAACAACCATCAGGACTTCGAGATGATGCCATTGAACAAATTCGCAATTGCTGTTTGAGGGCATGGGAGAAAATTCAGGATCTGGGAACTACTTATCAGTCTTTTAATTCTATTAGACAAGGCTCAAAGGAACCATATCCTGATTTCATTGCTCGCCTTCAAGACGCAGCACAGAAGGCTCTCACTGATGAAAGTGCCAGGAAGGCCGGGTGCGGTGGCTCATGCCTGTAATCCCAGCACTTTGGGAGGCCGAGGTGGGCGGATCACCTGAGGTCGGGAGTTGGAGACCAGCCTGACCAACATGGAGAAACCCCGTCTCTACTAAAAATATAAAAATTAGCCGGGCGTGATGGCACATGTCTGTAATCCCAGCTACTCAGGAGGCTGAGGCAGGAGAATTGCTTGAACCCAGGAGGCGGAGGTTGCGGTGAGCCGAGATCACGCCACTGCACTCCAGCCTGGGTAACAAGAGCGAAACTCCGCCTCAAAAAAAAAAAAAAAAAAAGAAAGAAAGAAAGAAAGTGCCAGGAAGGTGATTGTAGAATTATTGGCTTGTGAGAATACTAACCCTGAATGCCAGTCAGCTATTCACCCAGTGAAAGGAAAGGTTCCGGTGGGAGTTGATGTGATTAATGAATATATCAGGGCATGTAATGGAGTTGGTGGAATCATGCATAAGGCTATGATAATGGTTCAAGCCACGACAGAGTTAAAAGTGGGAGGTCCAATTAAAAACTTTTCAGGCAATTGTTACAATTGTGGGCAATTTGGACACACAAAAAAGGAACGTAAGAACAAATCGAACAAACAGGCAAGATATAATCAAATAAAAGAACCACCTGGCTTATGTCCCAGGTGCCAGAAGGGTAAACATTGGGCTAATCAGTGTCACTTCAAATTTGACAAAAATGGCCAACCGTTACAACCGCAGTCGGGAAACAGGAAGAGGGGCCAGCCTCAGGCCCCGCTCCAAACGGGGGCATTCTCACTCCAGCAGTTGGTCCCTCAGTCGGTCATTGCCTCTAGTCCAACCACCATCATTGTCTCTTGCCCAACCACCACAGTAACACAATTGGCGCCAGCTACAGCAGGGAGTACAGGCTTAGATTTATGTTTCCCAAAAGCTATCTCTCTGCTTCCAGGGAAATCCCCTCAAAAAGTCCCCACTGGAGTATTTGGCCCTTTACCTGATGGACAGTTGGACTTGTTTTAGGAACATCTAGTCTAAACTTAAAAGGAGTTCAGATTCATACTGGGCTGATTGATTCAGATTTTGTGGGAGAAATTCAATTGGTTATTAGTTCCAGTATTCCTTGGAGTGCAAACCCAGGAGATAGAATTGCTCAGCTGTTGTTATTACCTTATGTAATAGTAGAAAAAAGTACAGTAAAAAGAGAAAGTGGTTTTGGCAGTACTGACAGTGAAGGAAAAGCAGCCTATTGAGTAAATCAAGCTTCTAAAAACAGACCTGTGTGCACAATGATTCAGGGAAAACAGTTTGAAGGACTGGTAGACACAGGTGCTAATATTTCAATTATAGCTCTAAATCAGTGGCCAAAAGCGTGGCCCCGACAAAAGGCTTCTATGGGCTTGATTGGAGTAGGCACAGCATCTGAAGTCTATCAAAGTGCTACAATTTTACATCGTTTAAGACCAGATGGGCAGGAAGTCACCATCCAACCTATGATTACTTTCATTCCCATTAATTTGTAGGGGAGAGATTTGTTACAGCAATGGGGTACAGAAATCACCATTCCCCCTGCAATTTACAGTCCTGAGAGCCAAAGAATGATGACCAAAATGGGATATATTCCTGGGAAAGGATTAGGAAAAAAATGAGGACGGAATAACCCAGCCGATTGAGGTCTCAGTTAAATTTGACCGAAGAGGAATTGGATATCCTTCTTAGGTGCGGCCACTGTTGAGCCTCCAAAGCCCATTGCATTAAAACGGAAAACTCCAAAACCTGTTTGGGTTGATCAGTGGCCGCTTCCTCAACAAAAACTGGAGGCATTACATTCATTGGCAAAAGAACAATTAGACAAAGGACATATTGAACCATCTTTTTCACCATGGAACGCCCCAGTTTTTGTAATTCAGAAAAAATTCGCTAGATGGCGCATATTGACCGACTTATGAGCGGTTAACGCAGCCATTCAACCGATGGGAGCTCTCCAACCAGGGTTGCCATCTCCGGCCATGATCCCAAAAGAATGGCCGATGGTAATAATTGATCTAAAAGATTGTGTTTTTTACTATTCCTTTGGCTCCTCAGGATTTTGAGAAATTTGCATTTACAATACCTGCCATGAATAACAAGGAACCAGCTACTATATATCGATGGAAAGTTGTACCCCAAGGAATGTTAAATAGTCAAACTTTTGTTGGAAAGGTTATTCAGCTTGTCAGGGATCAGTTTCCTGATTGCTATATTATTCATTATGTTGATGACATTTTATGTGCTGCTGCAAGCAGGGACAGACGGATTGAGTGTTTTGCTAGGCTACAAGAAGTGGTGGGACTTACAGGTCTCGCTATAGCACCAGATAAAATCCATACTACACCCTATCATTACCTGGGAATGAGGGTACAGGAGAAAACAGTAAAGCCTCAAAAGGAGGAAATTCGTAAAGAGTCCTTAAAAACCTTAAATGATTTCCAAAAATTATTAGGGGACGTTAATTGGATAAGACCTACTTTAGGAATTCCCACCTAAGCAATGTCTAAACTGTTTGCTTTGCTGAGATGGGATCCAAATTCATGTAGCAAAAGAACTCTGATGCCTGCTGCAGCTGAAGAGTTACAAATGATTGAGGAAAAAATTCAAAGTGCTCAAGTCCGTAGAAGAGATCCTAGTGTTCCATTACAGCTCTTAGTGTTCCCTACTCTCCATTCTCCTATAGGAGTGATTGTTCAAAATGTTGACTTAGTTAAATTGTCCTTTTTAACGCACAGTACGACTAGAACTTTCTCAATTTATTTAGATCAAATAGCTATTCTTATAGGCCAAATACAACTGAGAATAGTCAGACTCATTGGCACCGATCGAGATAAAAATGTAGTTCCTTTAAACAAAGCACAGGTTCGACAAGCCTTTATTAATTCGTCAGAATGGCAGTCAAATCTGGCTGATTTTGTTGGCAGTATAGATATTCATTACCCTAAAACTAAAATGTTTCAGTTCCTAAAAATTGACTACCTAAATTTTACCCAAAATAACTAGTTCCATTCCTTTGGAGGGAGCCGTAACTATCTTTACTGATGGCTCTCAGAATGGAAAAGCAGCTTATACAGGACCGGAAGAAAAGATTATTCAAACTCAGTTTCATTCTGCACAAAGAGCTGAGCTACAAGCAGTTATATCTGTATTGGAAGATTGTAATCAACCTGTTAATATAATCTCTGACTCTGCTTACGTATTCCAAGCTGCCAAAATGGTAAAAACAGCTTTAGTAAAACATATTTCTGATGATCAGTTAAATTTCTTGTTTAGTTCACTTCAACAAGCAGTTAGGACTCAAAATTTTCCCTTTTATATTACACATATTTAGGCTCACACAAACTTACCAGGACCTTTAACCCTATTAAATAATCAAGCAAATTTATTAGTGACGCCTGTTCTAACAGTGTCCGGCCTCTGAGCCCAAGCTAAGCCATCATATCCCCTATGACCTGCACGTATACATCCAGATGCCCTGAAGCAACTGAAGAATCACAAAAGACGTGAAAATGGCTGGTTTCTGCCTTAACTGATGACATTACCTTGTGAAATTCCTTCTCCTGGCTCAGAAGCTCCCCTACTGAGCACCTTGCAACCCCCGCCCCTGCCCGCCAGAGAACAACCCCCTTTGACTGTAATTTTCCACTACCTACCCAAATCCTATAAAAGGGCCCCACCCCTATCTCCCTTCGCTGACTCTCTTTTCGGACTCAGCCCACCTGCACCCAGGTGAAATAAACAGCCTTGTTGCTCACACAAAGCCTGTTTGGTGGTCTCTTCACACAGACGCGAACAAAAGCTCAAAACTTCCATTCCCTAATTCATGTAAATGCTGCTGGATTAAAAAATAAATATTCATTTACCTGGAAACAAGCTAAAAATATAGTACAACATCCTCAGTGCCAAGTGCTACAGCTACCCACCCAAAAACCTGAAGGTAACCCTAGGGGGCTTCAACCAAATGCAGTGTGGCAAATGGACATGACTCATGTCCCATCATTCGGAAAACTTTCTTTCGTACATGTTACTGTTAATACTTTTTCTCGGTTTATCTGGGCTACACGCCAAACTGGAGAAAGCACAGCTCACGTAAAACGACATTTATTATCTTGTTTTGCAGTCATGGGTGTGCCACAGAAAGGAAAAATGGTCTGGTGGAAGGATACCAGAACCAAAACTTGGAAATTAAGAAAAAGTATTACTTGGGGGAGGGGTTTTCCTTGTGTTTCACCAAGAGACAATCAAACACTCATTTGGATACCCAATAGACATTTAAAATTCTACAATGAACCCTACACCGACCGGTCAGAAAAAAGGAAAGAATCAAAAGAGAAAGAAGACCGGTCCCTTCGACCTGTCTTTTCGGGAGCTGAGGAAAATGGTGAAGCTGAGCGTCTCGGAGAAAAAACAGAAGACGGAGAAGACTCGCTAGGCTACACCACTGACATGGGGACAGATAAAGAAGCTGACTCAATTGGCAGAGGACACCCTAAAGGAGAAACAACTAGCGATTACACCGGGTAATATGATCTTGGCTGCCTTGATGGTAATCACCACGGCGGTAAGTCTCTCTGCTGTTTCAGCTAAGCAAAATTTTACTACTGGGCTTATGTTCCATTTCCTCCTTTGATTAGACCTGTCACTTGGATGGACTCCCCTACTGAAGTTTATACAAATGGTAGTATCTGGATGCCTGGGCCGACTTATGATAGCTGTCCTGCATAGCCTGAGGAGGAGGGCATGTTAATGAATGGGATAATTGGGTATAAATACCCTCCAGTTTGTTTAGGAATTGCTCCTGGATGTTTGCCATTACAAATACAAAGTTGGATGGTCTACGTACCTCCTCATAATCGTTCTCAACCTAGTTATCACGTAGTGAGTGGAATGTCTTTTCAACCCATCAGGACTGTAAAAACTTAAGGGGATAGTTATTATCAGTCAAATATAAAAGTCCAAAATTGCAAGCCTAAGGGATTGGCTTGCCCTAAAAGGAATCCAGAATGGTCAGAAAAATGAGAAATTCTTACTTGGGAGGTTTGTGTGGCAGATAATGCGGTAGTTTTGCGAAATGGTTCTCATGGGGTCATTATAGACTGGGCTCCTAAGGAATCTTTTGCTAGAAATTGCACCGGACAAAACGCTGGGTGCGCTGGGGACTCCTTTATGATCGAATATAGAAATGATCCATATAATCCCCCCACTTTAGTTAGAAGATTTGAATCAACATACCCATTAAAGTGGGAAGATAAAGATACTGCTCCCCCTCCACCAAAAATTAGTCCGGTCGTGGGTCTGGAACATCCAGAATTGTGGAAGTTGCTTATGGCGACCTCCGGAATGAGAGTGTGGAAAGGGGAAGCGTCCTGGGGAACAAAAGGTAATAAGCCACTCTTTACTATGCCTTCTCCCTCTGCCCACTCCCCCGCCCCCCGAAAGGAAGACCTCCAGGTGACGCTCCCTGAGGACTCGGGCCAGGTGCTGCTGCTGCGTTTGCACAAGGCGTCCCCCGCCTCCCCTCCCCTCTGCCACCCCTCCCCCCGCCGGCCTCCCCGCCTCCCCCACCTCACCCCTACCCCCTCCGCCCCCCGCCCCCCGCCACGCTGCCTCGCCCCCTCTAGGTCCGGCCCAGACTCCGGGGTCTGCCGCTGGGTCCAGCTGAGGCTGCTGGGGACCCCCTCCGCTCCCCCTTACCAGTGGCTGGAGGGGGCAGGCAAAGGGCAGGGCCGGGGCTGCAGGAGGGGCATGGAGGGAGCGAGGGGGACCAGGGTGGTCATGGGTCAGGGGAGGGGGGCTGGTGTGGACACAGTGGGGAGGGGGGAGGCAGAAAGGTGACATGAGGGGCACGGGAAGGAGGAGGTGGGATGGTTGGGAGGAACCATACTCAGGGAGGGGAGGATGGAAGATAAGTGGGGGAGGGGAGCACCGGCTCTGACAAGAGGATTAGGTGGGGAAGTTGAGTGGTGGATCAGTGAGTGGAAGAGGGAGAAGCTGGTGGAAAGAGAACAGGCCTGTGAAGCAGAGGGGTTGGGGGCAGAACATCGTGGCCCAGTATTGGGGGTGGTGGGTGTAGCTATGTCTTCTCTTTCCTCTTCCCACCGACTTTACTCTTTGGTCCCCTCTGGCCTGGGCTGTTGAGTTGGGGCTCAGTGAACGGATGGGGACGACCTCAGGTGCTGAAGCAGGTGCTGAAGCAGGGTCTGCCGTGGGGGGAAGGTGGAGTGGGCAGGGCTTCTCCATCCCTGGGGGAAGAGGCAAAGCAGACGCAGAGGCCAGGGGCTGGCCAACACCCTGGTTCAAAGATGCTCCCACCCCAGGTCTGGGGAGAGGAGGGGAGAGGCTGGGGGCTAAGATCTCCCTTTCTGCACCTGGATCCCCTCCACAGCCTGGGCCATTCTGTCTTTGTTTCTGCAGGAACACTGCCCTGAAACTGCAGGACTGCTGGGCAGCCAGGGGTCTGGAAAAGGGATCAGTGTACCTTCATCTTCCCCACACCAAGGTGTCAGGTCCGCAGGGTGAGGGAGGAAGGGCGAGGTGGCTGCAGCAGGGCAAGAGGGTCCTTGGTGGCAACCTTGTGGGACTGAGAACCAGAAAGCCAAAATTAGAACATTCTGGAAATCACAGGACTTGTTCTGTGCTGCCACCAGTTCCTACCTGTCCTTTGAAGAAGCTCACTTCTGCCCTGAGAATGTGCACGTCCTGCCATTGTGCTCGGCTCACTGCAACCTCTGCCTCCTGGGTTCAAGCGATTCTCCTGCCTCAGCCTCCTGAGTAGCTGGGACTACAGGCACCCACTACCACACCTGGCTAATTTTTGTATTTTTAGGAGAGACGGGGTTTCACCATGTTGGTCAGGCTGGTCTCGAACTCCTGACCTCCTGATCTGCCCACCTCAGCCTCCCAAAGTGTTGGGATTACAGGGGTGAGCCACCACGCCCAGCCCAGCAGTGGCTTCTGTGTGGGAAGAAGGTCAGGGCTGAAGGACCCTGGGAGGATGCCCCACCCAACATGTCCTCTCTCATCGTGGGGTAATTGCCCATGTTTGCCCAGCCATTCTCACCTATCAGGGCTTCCAAAAGAATGGCCAAAGTAAGTTCTAACAACTTTGCTTCTTTGCCAAGGCAAGCACCAATGCTACTTTTCTGCCCTCTCTGGATGCCCGTGACTTCGGTCCCACAGGAAGCCAAGCTCCTGAGGCAGCTGAAATTCAGTCAGGGGACTGGGGTCTGTGTACTGATCTACACCCCACTTCATACCTACTTCTTCAAACTGTCCCCAACACTGGGAACACCTGTCCTTGAATATCCTCAGCAATTTAAGGGGAAAAAAAGGCTGAAGCAGAAAGACTTTTTCCTTCCAAAATTGTGCCTGCTTGCTTGGGGGCCTAGGCATGCAGACTTGAAAATAAATCAAGCTTGGGTGGGGCATGGTGGCTCCCGCCTGTAATCCCAGCACTTTGGAAGGCCGAGGCAGGCCAGGCAGGGTGAGGAGGATCACAAGGTCAGGAGATCGAGACCATCCTGGCTAACATGGTGAAACCCTGTCTCTACTAAAAATACAAAAACAAAATTAGCCAGGGTGGTGGCGGGTGCCTGTAGTCCCAGCTACTCTGGAGGCTGAGGCAGGAGAATGGCATGAACCCAGGAGGCAAAGCTAGCAGTGAGCGGAGATCGCACCACTGCACTCCAGCCTGGGCGACAGAGAGAGACTATAGAAAGAAAGGAAGAAAGAAAGGAAGGAAGGAAGGAAACTAAGCTTAGGAGGCCGAGGCAGGTGGATCACCTGAGGTCAGGAGTTTGAGACCAGCCTGACCAACACAGCAAAACCCCGTCTCTACTAAAAATACAAAAATTAGCCACGCATGGTGGCAGGCACCTGTAATCTCAGCTACTCAGGAGTCTGACGCAGGAGAGTTGCTTGAACCTGGGAGGCAGAGGTTGTAGTGAGCCGAGATTGCGCCACTTCACTCCAGCCTGGGCGAAAGAGCGAAACTCCGAATAAATAAATAAATAAATAAACAAACAAGCAAACCAAGCTGGAAGATTCAGTAGTGCTCACTCTCCAATATCCTTGTTGCCGCTGGGTGCACGATGCATTTAAACTATACAGGTCAAACTCTTGGTTCAGAAACCCTAGCACCAGTGCCACGCCCCAAAGCAATGCAACCTCTTATTAAATGATCACTCTGGTTTAACAAATCATCTACACTGCCTTGTGACAAAGTAGCAGGAGAATGGGACCCGGGACTGGTGAGTTTTGGCAGGGAATCAAAAGGGCCTCTCTGAGCGGAAGCCCGGAAGGACGGGCCGTTCTGGTATCCAGCATTCTTTAGTATTCCAGTTTTCTCAAATTCAACTTATCCTAGGTGA